>NC_000004.12:86345623-86497138 GCF_000001405.40 Homo sapiens
TCTAGCTTCAAGGGCTCTTCCTTTTCCAGAAACTATATGAATAAATCTTCTAAACTCGAACAAACACTCTGCTCTAGACCATTCTTGATTCCCTCTCCATATAAAAATCTTGAACAAAACACCCCGCTCTAGACAATTCTTGATTCCCTCTCCATATAAAAACTTTTCCTATATATTCCTGCAGTGTCCTGCTATTTTAATGCACCATATTTATTCAAATGTGGTTTTAGTACCTATGATCCAAAATCCATTACGACCAATTCACACCTTAATTCAAGTTAGTTTATCAGGTTAGCAAGCCAATCAATTTGCCTCATAACATTTCTGTTTGAATAGCAATGGTTGAAGTCTTCAACTAAAAGAACAAGTGGAAATTTTATACATGATATCAGATTCAGAAGCAGAGATAGATGAAAACAGAATGTGTTTTGGTTCCTTAAATTATAACACAGAGTCAGACATCTATACAAAGGACCAAAACTACAATAAGTGCAATGAATGAGAGCTTATTGCCTGTGATGCTTCACTTTGTTAACCTGAACCCTGGTTGGCAACAGGATAGTAGGATAGTCAAACAAACATATGACATGATATAAAGGTGTCACAAGCTATCTTCACTGGATTGATTCCAGGACAACCCCGGAGGATACCAAAATCCAAGGATGTTCAAACCCGTTATATAAAATGGTAGTATCTGCATATAATTTACACACATCCTCCCATATACTTTGTCAACTCTGCATTACCTATGGTACCTAATACAAGGTAAATGCTATGTAAATAGTTATTATACTGTATTGTTTATAACAAGAGAAAAATGTCTGTGTGTGTTCAGTACAGACATAACCATCATAGGCCTAACTACATTTTCAAACCATGGTTGGTTAAATCTGCGGATGTGAAACTGCAGACACAAAGGGCTAACTATATTAGTCTGAAACTCACAAAAGATGAAATATGGTCATTCCTTGGTATATCCGGGACCTCAGGTCTCTAACCAAATCCACACATACTCAAGTCCAACAATCAGCCTTATAGGAAAAGTCAGCCCTCCGTATCTGGAGGTTTCACATCCCAGGAATACTGTATTTTTAACCCAAGTTTGTTTGGAAAAAAAAAAAAAAAAAAACACATCTAAGTGGACCCACACAGTTTAAACACAGCTGTATAGCTTAAATTGTTTCCTACCCACTTTTTCACGTAGTTTTTGCTAAATATATTTTATTCAATCTTTTTGGCAGGGAATGAGTACAATATTATATATGTACTCATGTGTGTGCACACACACATATGTCTTAATATAAAAGAGTATCTTTATTAAGATTTATATATATCTTAATAGACTAAACTCCAAAGTAGAATTGCATTCATTCTTAAGATTTATAAGTGACTTTCTGAAAGCAGTACTATCAAGATTGTCCAGTCAAATTTGAAAGAGCTTAAAAGTCAGTCTCAGGATTTAAAGCACTAACAAACCACCTGGGCCCTCCAAAAGTACAAATAGAAAGAAAACTTTAAATTTATGGTATCTACAATGCAAATAATAAATTATCACATAAAATGAATGCTGTTAAACTATACACTAAATTTTTCAAGTCTTAACCTGAATAGCTTTGTTATGTTAACCAATTTTTCATTAAAATCTCATACTTTGATTTTAATACTAGTTCCTCTGATACTGGTTATCAAAACACAGAGAATTCTTTATGAAGAACCTAAAATTTTTGCAGATGCTTACTCAGTCTTCAAATAAACTCCAGGAAAATCCCAATTTCTAAGAGAAAGCATTGAATTTGTGCTCCTGATCTGGCATCAAATTACTTGGGAACTCTCAAACAGTGACAGCCCCATCTTCCTAAGACACATAGCTACATGTTCTACCAATCAGTGGAGGAAAAAAGTTTGTAAAAATTTTATACAATACTAGAGTGTCTTAGTCCATTCAGGCTGCTATAACAAAATGCCATAAACTTGGCAGCTTATAAACAACAGAAATTTATTTCTCAGTTCTGGAGGCTGGTAAGTCCAAGATACAAATAGATCCGGTGTCTGTTGAGGTTTCGCTTTCTGGGTCATAGACAGTGCATTCTTGCTGTATCCTTACATGGTGGAAAATACTAGCTAGCTCTCTGGGGTCTCTTTCATAAGGACACTAATCCCAATCACCTCTGTTTTCATGACCTAATCACCTCTCAAAGGCCCCATCTCCTAATACCATCTCCTTGGGGTTAGGACTTCAACATAAGAATTTGGAGGGAACACAAAATTCAGAACATAGTCTGGGGCTACTTATATCGGTTTTACCAGGTTAAATACTCCTAAAGATTTAATTTCCCATCTTGGTAACTGCTGCAGCCATTGAGAAGCAAGACAGAACAGCACCACAGAATTAAACATTTCTGAATATTCTCTTATTCATCTCATTTGTAAGGTATTTGATTCCACAAATCTGTTATGCTAATTTCTATTTCTCTTCACTTTGATTGTTACTGTTACTATTCCTTGGAATTCTTATCCATATACTTACCTGGAATTCAAACCATATCAATATTTTAAGGCTCTATTTAGGTCCAATATTCATCTTTAACACTACAAAGAAGACAGCACAGTAATAAGCATATGCTCCAGAGTCAGAATCATGCACCACTAGCTGCATGACCGGTGGCACATTACTAAATCATCTGTGCCTTGTCTTCACCTTTTATAAAATAGGAATGTTCAGTAGTATTGCTGTCAGGCTCAAGTGAACTAGGACATGCAAAGCACTATGAACAGTGCTTGGCATGAAGTAGGCACTCTATAAATGTTAGCCACTATTGTAGTTCTTTATTATAACCCCCATTCTTCCTGTACTTCTCTGAATAACTATAGATTCATAAGTAATAGGGACCTTAGATCCTACAGTCATTTAGTTCAATCTCCCACACAAAGTAGTATCATCTCTAAAAAGCTCTTCATACTTGGTCAACCATGAAGATGGTTAAATACTTTCAGTGATGAAAACTTTACTACTTTTCAAAAAGCACAGGCTCAAACAGTTCTTATAATAAAAAAAAAATTTATGTGCAGTACCTACTATCTACTCTTTGGTCTCTTAGTTCTGCCTTCAGTACAACTTACAAACAATCCTGCATCCTCTAGCCTCTTTCATATGAAAGCCGTTAAATATTGAAGGCAGTTGCTTGGTAAGTTGCACTCTCTTTCACTCTCTAGCGCTGCCACCCTCCACCTCGATCTTTCCTCTTCATTTCTCTTCTCCGGGCAAAACACTATAATTTTTCTTGACTGTCCACCACAAGATATGTTTTCTATATCTTCACCATCCTCAACAAAATCTTCAGGACTCATTTCATTTTATGAAAGTCATTCCTAATAGAGGGCACTAAAAGCTACACATAATATTCCCAACAGGTTCTGAATAGTAAAAATGACAGAACAACAGTTTGTTTAGGAAAGTAAGGCAAATTTTGGAAAAATTTACTTAATAACAATCATCAAAAAACAATGCTGTTAAATGAGCAATTAAGTTAAATTTTTCTTCTGAGAGATTGGCAAACAACATAGGCTATTACCTAACCTATTTAAATAAGATTATGGACTCTCTGCCAGGCTGCCTTCCACATTGTATCCAGAGACAGAATTTGTGATGCCTTTGTGTAAACTGCTTTTGTCTCTATGGAAGTCTCTTTAGCTATGTGTTTTTTTCTTCATGTGTCTGTCTTTGTCCTGCTTCTGCTTCTTTCTGTATATCAATCTCTTTCTCATTCTTCTTTCTTTTGTCAATCATTCAATAAATATTTATGCAGTGCCTATCAAGTGTCAGGCGCTGTATGAGGTATAAGAAATTCAAAGATGAGTCTTGCTCAAAATACCCCCTGGCTAAGGTGGGAGGCAAAGCAGACACAAACAGATAATAAACAGATAATAAGATACTATGGTAATACAGTGAGGTAGATAATGCACAGGTTACTGTGAGAACACCAAGAATGATTGAATGCTGGATGAAAGGGATCTGAGAGGTTTCCAGGAGGAGATAGAATCTTATGAAATCTAAAGTGATTCTAAACAGTACTCTCAAACTTTAACATGTATTTAAATCCCCTAGGAATCTTGTGAAAATGCAGATTCTTAATCAGTGTGTCTGTCTGAGTAGTAGGACCTCAGATGCTGCATTTCTATCAGGCTCCAGGAGATGTCCATGCTGCTAGCCCCCAGACCATCATAGAGTCACAAACGTCTTAAAGGATGGAAAGGAGTAAGTAAGGGCTGTGCAGAGTGAATACAGGCAGTATAAACAGCATGAAGTAAATCACAGAGGTAGGAAACACCTGAGTAGATGTGATGAGACTGAAGCACACTGGTGTTTCCAGGCAATTTAAAAGGTCAAGAGTATCTAAAATGGGGATGGATGGGAGTATGACATATCATTTTTTGTTTTGTGTGTGTGCGAGACAGTCTTGCTCTGTCGCCCAGGTTGGAGTACAGTGGTGCAATCTCGATTCAATGCAACCTCTGCCTCCCAGGTTCAAGCGATTCTCCTGCCTCAGCCTCCTGAGTAGCTAGGATTACAGGTGCCCACCACCATGTCCAGATAATTTTTTTTTTTTTTGAGACGGAGTCTCACTCTGTCGCCCAGGCTGGAGTGCAGTGGCACGATCGCGGCTCACTGCAACCTCTGCCTCCCAGGTTCAAGTGATTCTCCTGCCTCAGCCTCTCAAGTAGCTGGGACTACAGGAACCCGCCACCATGCCCAGCTAATTTTTTCTATTTTTAGTAGAGATGGGGTTTCACCGTGTTAGCCAGGATGGTCTTGATCTCCTGACCTCGTGATCCGCCCACCTCGGCCTCCCAAAGTGCTGGGATTACAGGCGTGAGCCACCACGTCTGGCCAATTTTTGTATTTTTAGTAGAGACAGGGTTTCACCATGTTGGCCAGGCTGGTCTCAAACTCCTGACCTCAGCTGATCCACCAGCCTTGACCTCCCAAAGTGCTGGGATTACAAAGGCTTGAGCCACCCACCTGGCCAGAAGTATGGCATGTCTTAAGGAAAAGGGAAGTTATTACATGGATGACAGAGTATATTGAAAATTCTTTAAGTAGGGCAATTATACGGTAACAACTGCAAATCAAATAACAAGTCTGGTGGCTTCACTGGTAGAATAATGGACAAGAAGATAGTATGCTAGGCTACTTAAATAAACCTGCCAAAGATGATGATGAGGACCTAAATTATGGCAGTAACAACAGATTTAGATGAAAAAGGACTTGTCTGAGAAATGGTTAGGAAATAGAATAGGTTGATTGTGTCATCACTCGTTAATTTAAAAATCAGGTGGTTGTTATTTCTTTGCATTTTTTTGCAGGCATCGTATCTATTCTTAACCTGACACTTAGAAACATGTGATCTTGGACAAGCCACTTACCCTCCTTAGCAGTTGCTTCCATATCTTTAAAAAAAAGTGAAGATTTGACCCAAATGAACAGTGTCATTGCTTTAAACCCTAAAATTTATGAGCCTGTGAACTAAATTCATCTCATTGAATTGTAGATTCACAAAATGTACTCTTAGTACCTACAATACCTGGACTTTATAAAATGAATTATTAGTACCTACCACAATATCTGTATTTTATATATATATATATACACACACACACACGCAATATATATATGACAATGTATTGTACAATATATGTACAAAGGATGACAATATATTACAACATTAGTCATACAATGTGTGTGTGTATATATATATACAGTGTGTATACACAAACACACACACACACACACACACACACACACACATTTTATGACAAATATTGAATCTACCTAGCCGACAGGTATTAAAACTTGAGACTTTAAAAATCCTTCCTCTTGTTTGCCCACCACATTCATTACCAAGTCCAGTTGTTTGTTACATATGCCCTACTAGCAATTCTTTGGTTTATGCACTTATTTTTTTAACTGGATTCCTGCAATAGCACCTTAGATGTTCTCCCTGGTTCCAACCAAATCCCCTTCCAAACACCGAGAAACTGAAGAATTCTGGAGTCAGAAAGACTTGGGCTTGAATGCTAAGTCCACTGTTCCTTAACTATGTGATTGTCAGCAACTGATTTAACCTCTCTAAACCTTGGTTTCCTTACCTCTAAATTACAGGGATACTAGGAAGATGAACTATTTGTAAAGTACTTACTATAGTGCCTATTACACAGTGAGAACTCAATAAGTGTTAGTTATCATTTTGAAAGACACATCTCAAAAAGATTTGAGCAGGTACTTCACAAAAGACGAAAATCAAATTACCAAAAAACAAAAAATGGAAAGATGCTCTTCTTCATTAGTAATCAGCAAAATGCAAATTAATACTTTTATGAGTACAATTATGTATCTACCTGATTAGCAAAATTTAAGAACTTGTAAATCAAGTGTTGGTGAGAATGCAGAGTTTCTCATATACTGCTGCTGGGAATGTAAATTGATGCAACTGATTGGGGAAAATATTTTGGAATTATTTAGTAAAATTAAAGGCGCACATACCCCAAAACTCAGCAGTTCCTTCCCTTGCTATTTATCCTAGAAAACGGTAAATATCAGAAACTATGAGAACTAATATATATAAACATAAAAATGATATTATATTTATATTTATACTAGCATTAAGTAAAATAGATTTAATCCAAATGTTCAACAACAATAGACTAGATAAGTAAATATTGGCATATTGATACAATAGAATACTATACAACAATTTACATGAATAAACTACATGCATGAACATGAAAGAATCTCACAATGTTAGCAGAATAATCAGGTGATTGAGAGTATACATGCTGTAACTCCAAATACATGGAGCTGAAGCATAGGCAGAACTAAGATTCATAGCCTAGAGATGCACAGATAGATGGAAAACCTACAAAGAAAAGCAAGGTAATGTGCATGACAAAAGGTGGGATAGTAGCTAGCGGTTACCTATGGTGGGGAAGGAAAAGTATGTGATCTGAAAGGGACACATAGGGGTTTGCTGGGAGTCTATTACATCATGTTTGATTTACTTGATTTGTTTTATGTTGTTTGATTTGTTTACATGATGTTTGATTTATAATTATTCTTTAACCAGTATTTGTTTTATACACTCTTCTATGCGTATGGTATATTTCACAATTAAAAAATAAACTGATTATGTCAATCTCCTATTTAAAATCTTTCAAAAGCTCTTCACTTTGAAACAAAATCCAAACTCCTTAATTTTGTCTAAGAGATCCTTCATGGCACATGTCTTGTATCCCTCTTCAACTTTATCTCTGCCACTACCATTTCTGCTTCAGCATAGTAAATGATACCTAGTATTCCCACACAATCATGCTCTCTCAGGCTTCTGGGTCTGTTAAAAAATGTTCCCACTGTGCACTGCATCCTCCCTTCCTCTGGCTATCCTTTCACTGTGCTTAATAGTCCACCAAAAGATCCCTTCCTCTGGGAAGTCTTCCTTGACTAATCTCTACCACATCCGTGGTAGAGTCTCCTCTGATGCACTTCCTTTGGCACTCTAGACCTACCCATGTAATAGCACTTTGTAAGTGCCACACTCTTTAGAACACAACTACCTCCATTAATAAGCACATTTTATTGTAAGTACCCCACTCTTTAGACTGAGGGCTCCTTTAAAGCAAGGACTGTCTTTTATCTGCCCCAAAAGCTAAACATTCTACCTACATCACAGATTCTCAATAAGAGTTTGATTAATGAATTAATATTCAGAATGGAGAGAACATGGTATGCTTTCTACATCACTGGGAGTAACACATAATATATTAGTTTCAACCATATAAAATTGCCCTTATTTTAGGTCAAAAATAGTTTGTTATTGGCAATTGCATAAAATTATTTATAACGCTCATTGAATACATGTTAATTAAGCACAGTATAGTGATGCTATTAGATCTGCTTTCTCAATATAATGGTAGATGGATTGTTTTTTATGAATTGTTTTATAAATTCACTATATGAAATAACTCTAGGATTAATTTCATCAGTCTTCCGCAGTCATAGGCTGTGCATTAATTCACAGGGCAGCCTACCTATCTACAGTTATATAAGCCACTAGGCAAATGAAAGAAAGATATTGATCACTAGCTCAAAATAGCTTCTTTTGGAGTCTTATAAGCACCACAGTCATACTCTAGTTCTCAAAGATGTTATTTGACAGATTATAACTCGTTCATCTCTGCTGGAATCTATTGATTATTGACTTTGGTGACTATGAAGCATCAAGTATTTGATTTAAAAAGACATTCTACCTGTGTGTGCTGATATTTTTATAAAGTAATAAGTTTTAAAGTCATTCCAACTAGGCAGAGCAACTGTATCTATTTTTAACATTGCTTTGTTAAGCAAAAGGATTTGTAGGCTAAAATGCCCATGAATTGAGTTTTATAAAACTGTGATTTCTCTTCTCTTATTTCAGAAGAGCTAAATTGTGTGTGTGTGTGTGTGTGTTCCTGAAAGAAAACCATAATTTAGCTCAGAACCAATTTTTCTACTAAAGGAGATGAATCTGTAAAATATAGTACAATGTTGCAAATAATAAAAGTCACTTAAAAATAATGGTACCCAACTGTTACTCTGCCACATGAAAATGTTAATTGCAGGTATCATCCATGGTGGTAGTATCATGGTGTTATATGCTGCACCCATGCACCTCAAGACTTTTCACTACTGTATGTGGTATTAGTAGTACCACACCAACTATTAAACTTCTGTTCTATTGATTTTCACTTCTGTAGTCGAAATTATTTGGAGCAGTATTTCTCCAGCTCCATGTACAAAACCATATGCAATATTTAAATTGGCTATATAGATCCTAGTTTTCATGCTAAGGAATATTTTTAAATTGGCAACTCACCACAGCTTGTATGGTTTCTCATCTATAGGAAACGGGTCTAATTCAACAGTTTCTTGCATAAGTTGCCATAGTGAAGATCTGAGATGGGCCTGCTGTTGGTGTTTCTCACACTAGCCTGAAAGCAAAGCCAAAAAACAGATGAGTTTGATTTTAAGATTTAAATTTGTATTTAGAAAACCAAAAAGCTGACATCAAAGACAGTTGGTTACTGGGTGGGTGAGTGTAGGCAGAGGAAAGAAAATATCTCAAGGTAATTATCTCTATTCATCATTTATTGCAAGCACAAGAACTTTGATGTTATAATACCAGAACAACTATTTTAATATCTGAGCATAAACTAAATTAGTAATTCTTATTTCAGTTAATATAATTAGTCTTGTGATATGAATTTGGTTTTCTAATACAAGGCACCCCACTCATCCTCAACTGGGACAGCTCCACTATTACATAGATTTACATATTCTGCTTTTCATACAAGATTTCATTGGAACAATGGTTACATAGGTACCAATAAAGGAGGAGAATTTTGAAAACCTCTGAAGTATGCAAAAGAAAGTAAACCTAAGCTGGAGCTCATCTGAAGAGACCTGTATTTATGTTCTTCTAGTTACTAACCTACTTTTTCACCATTATAGCCTGTTACTTCCCAACATTATATTAGACAAGATTCTTCAGAATATGTGGCAGTCTGCAACATTCTACCCAATGTCAAACCATAAGTTTTTATTTCTAGTTTGGAAAATATGGTCATCATACCCAAAATAGGCCTCCTCTTTACCCCAAGTAAGAGTTTCTTTCCTGCCCAGGTGCTCACAATTACTCCTAGGACTACCACCCTCTCACTATCCCACCACCTCACCCCAACACCCCAGTGTAGCCCCATTGTCACCTACCATCACTTCAGAGGAGGTAAATTCCTTTCTCCTCTGAATTTCTATTGCACTCATTATCAAAACACTAATATGGGCCCTTGATTTTATACCATCTTTATTGTTATTTAGCCTCATCTTCCCAAATGAGTATAGGTTCCAAATGGCAGAAACTGTGTTACAGTTTCCCAATTTTTTCTACCATAGCACTTAGCAGAGAACTCAGTACATGAGAGATATTCATTCAATGAATATTTGGTGTGTCCCTATTGTGTGCCAAACAGAAAAAGTCAGTCCCTGATGGGGATTAAACCTTAGTAGAGAATACAGGTAATAGAAGAATAGGCAATTACTATATTATATAAATGCTGTGCTGGAGCTTCCGCCTACAAACACTGAATAAACATTGCCAAATAAACAGACCTAACCTAAGAGCTTTCCTTCACTATCAATGCTTTCAGATCCTATTTCCAATGTATAAGAAGAGGACAATTGCTTTAAGCAATCCATTTTCAGAAAGCACATAGGGCACCCAGGCAGGTTAACACAGACAAACAGGAGTCAGTTTTATTTCTATGAAGACAAGTCACTAAGATGAATTTCTAGAACTTTAAAGTCACTGCTGTTTTTGTTTTTGTTTTTCTTCACACACACACACACACACACACACACACGTGTACAAACACAAGGTAGTGAAAATCCTGTTTATTACTGTGCAGGTCACTGCAAATGCCCAATTGCCTTATAGGGAAGCTTTGCCTTAAACCTGCACACCATGCAGGGTTTTAGAGCAGCTGTGGTTAGGGATGCTTCTCAGGAGACTGTATTCATTTCTTTTTCCATTGAAAACTTCAATTTCCATTCCTACTAGCATTATTTCCATAAGCCTCAAGGATTTTACATCTCATAGTCACCAGAGATAAGAACTGTAAGAAAAGCCATAGTGGCTTGATATGGATCCAAAACATCAAATAAACTAGAAAATCCTTTACCAGAAATAGTATATGTGTGAGGTCTACTTTTTAAACCTAAAATGTTTATATTTAGTGATTTTCAATATTACCTGATGTCTCCTCTTAAGAGTTTCTACCAAGATTCACAATAAGAAATACAGCTTCTCCCTATTAAATACAGAAAACAAAAGATATGCAAAACACAGGTTTTGTATTTTCCCCTTCTTTGCCTTGATCGGTTCATGAGGATAAAATGTACTCAAACTGAAAAATCTTGAGTCAAAACCTTACAACTTCACTCTGCAAACACGTACAGGTTTCTGAAAAGATGGGCTCCAATTCTAAGTTACATTTTTTAAACAATCAATATGCAGCATGATCTTTTTATCTGAATCAGCAGTACAGTGTCTCATCTCAGGCTTATGTAATGCAATAAATATATCCAATATGCCAAAGAAGCAAATGGATTCTGTTCTTCTTTACCAGTAAGCATCTCCCCTACTAGTCTATAGGCCCAACTTTTTCCACAAGTCCTTGGTCCTCAGAAGAAGGTGCAATAATAGATGCATGTGTGGTAGGAGGAAGGCACTCAGCAGTCCTGCAGCAAATAGAGCATTGTACTCCATTCTTGTCACTACTGGACACTTCCGTGCCTCTTTCTGCATGATTGTTGCAATGTCCAACCAAAAGCTTAAAAGAGACTGTAAGAGGAAATAGAAAGGGCAATGAAGAAAGAATTTAAGACAACAATGTGTTTGCTTCTCATTCTAATTGAAGGAAGTCTCTCTTGCTTTGAGTCCTTTATTCTGATAAGCAACCAAGCAATCATTCGATTTGAACACACCAATTCCACTGAAAGTCCTTTGGCTACAAATGTGACCTGAGGCCAGAACTAGAGCATGAAGGGAGAACATCTATCCCCATATTTAACAAACAAGTAAATACCCAATTTGTCTTTAGCTTTTAGTATCAGTATAAAAAGAATTTATAACTAGGCTTACATCCAAAGAAACAGATTCATTTACATGAAACCACAATAAAACCTTAAAAATATATTTATGCCTTTAAACATGGGAGGTTTTTCTAGATTACTTAGGTTGGGCAAATTTGTTTTGCTTATGATGTTCCTGTAGGATATCCTAACAAGGAAAATCTTATTAATTTTCCTATAAATTTAAAATATCTACATTTTATAGCATTGACAATAAATTATCAGTTCATTCTAACCTTAGAATATATAGACCATGTACTATGAAACCATTAAATACTAATAGCTGCAGACATACCAGACAATGACAGCAAAAACACACTCAGCCCCTCTGGGATCTGTTCATAAACATCCCCTTCCAGCATGGCAAACACACTCCTCTCAACAGCAGATGCTGTTCTGGGGCTAGCAGGCAGGAAGCTGGAGGCAGCTGATTTTCCCACTCTACATATAATTTCTTACTGCCTCACTATCCAGAATCGTTTTACTGAAACTGTGAGGATTTTTTAAGAACAGGAGCCCCTCAAATTAAAGACACTTTGCAACAGCAGAGGAATGACAGGCAAATGAGGAAGCATGAAGACTCTCTAATATTTAAGGTCACACCACCTTTGTCATCTGATTTTCTAGTCCCATTGTAGGGGAGAGAAAACCCAGTTTGCTCCACATAAGAAAATAAGCTAATCCAATACTTTATGTCAATTTTAAGAGTGTGATCAAGGTAGAGAAGGAAATACATACCAGAGGCAGCCAAACCGCTACATCCAAAGCATCCAGCCCCTAAAATCTAATGGTTCTGAAGTGGAGTCAGAAGCTTGTGATATACTTATATATTTATTTGTTATATATTTGTAACATATATGCTCACCTAAAGTAGAAAATTCACAGAAGCTTCTCTGAGAGAAATGGTCCTTACTGCAACTATTTTAAATATGTTGATAAGCATTCTGTGTTATCTTCCAGGGTCCGACAACTAGCCGATGAGGGATAGAAGGAGATATTGGATGTTGTGCTGGCAATGCCTGGTGCACTTACACTCGTTTTCCTTCCACCTGAACTGTAGTCTATCCCATATGACTTAGCCTGCTTCCTTGCAGTTTGTTCATAAAAGTTATCATCAACATGGCCAGAAGCAGGCAGGGCTGCTGTACAGACACTGTCAGGCTCTGCACCAAAGGCAGCCCATGTAAACAACCTTGTGATTGCTTCAGAGCCTACTGCTGTGGCATAAGCCATTCTTTTTCTGTGGCTAAATTGCAGTACCCTGGGAAGTTATCTGTTTAAGGGGGTAAAAGCAGAGACTAGGTCTCTAGATTTAAATGTTTGGGGAGGGTGAGAAAAATATATGGATAGATAGTTTTCTTGTAATATCTATAGCCTGATTTACTTACAGATTTTCCAGTAAATTACATTTATTTTGTTGAAGGCACAAATACATAGATTCTAACAAATATACTGCCATACTTATTTCTGATTTTTTTTTCAAAAGAGCTCTGACATTTGCAGGGGACACAGTATCCCAGCACAGAATACCTGGGAATCTTGCCATGAAAAAAAGAAAGCTGACTGCTGTGACTAGGAGATCACTTTCTTAAAGGGACCCCTTACCTATTTGACTGCAGTGCCAATGTTTCCTCTTATCTCTAACCTGACCCCTGTTCTGTGTTCCTCTCCCCGGCTCAGATTTAGCCTAGAGTTGCTCTGCAAGAGTAACGCCAATAGTTTTATATCTAATATATATATAAATACTGTTCCTTAGTAAAATACATCTTAAAATATTTAAATTATACTTCTCACAAAAGTAAACATAAATACATACTAAAAGACATTATTTTTAATGTTTTATGGAACCCATCACATTTTTCAGATATGGAACTAAGGTCAGCACTTCTAACAAGCACAGCTGTTTGGTGTTTTTTTTTTCCTCTCTCTCTCTCTCTCTCTCTCTCTGTGTGTGTGTGTGTGTGTGTGTGTGTGTGTGTGTGTGTGTGTTTCTCTCTCTCTCCCTTCCCTTCTGTAGCCCTGCATTGGTCTAAAAACCCCTGGTCACAATAAGAATGCTCCCTCCCTCCCTCTGCTACCCCTCACTCCAAATGGAAAGGTTTCAACACGCCCAAGTCTGGAAAGAGATGTTCTGCACAGAGGGAAAAACTGGTAGCTTCTTGCTTCAAAGCTAGTTCACTTGATTAACCTGCTTTCCACCCCACCTCTCTCGTCTCTTCCATACTCCCTCTCCCGCCCCACCAGGAGCAATCAATAGACATCACCCCACCCTCCAAAAACAGGTTAGAACCCAGAACGAGCAAAGAGCCACCTACCATTCCGTGCCTGAGAACTACGATCCTGATCCGGCAGTGTTTGCCCCAGAAATCCTCCCTACTTGTTTTTCATTAACCACATTCCAGACTAACATGGAAGAGATTCTTTGGAGATATGGAGATTGTTTAAAATTAACGATGGACAGGTGATTTCCAAGAAAACCCAATCTTAAACTCACTCAAGCCCCTAGGAATTGAGGGGTGAGGACAAAAAAGGAAATTTGTAAAAATGAAAAAAGAAAAGAAAAAGGTAAGCATATAGCAAGCACCACCCACCCCCATAAAAATAAAAAGTGAAGGGGAGGTTAAAGAAAATAGAAGAAGAGTGGCTTGCTGAATCACCCTCTTTCACTGCCTGGAAACCATTGTGCAGCGTGATGCTGCCTGTACCATTGTGGAACCTACCAGAGGAGACGGACAGAGGGCTTGGGGAATGGGGTTGCTATGGCAACCGAAAGGAGCACACATGACGTCAAAGCCCAGAGAGGTCTAGGGAGGGGGATGAGGGGGAAACAGAAAGAGGAAGCGTCTATGTGCAGCTACAGCTACTGTGTTTTCCGGTGAAATGAGGACCAGGCAAATGTAAAGGAATAAGGTTCGTCGGCAGCCAACATCAGCAACTACGACATCAAGGCAGCCAGCCTGCACAACCTGAAGAAAAGATCCATTCGATGCAGTTCTGGCCCTTTGCACAGCAGCACGGAGGAGCAAATACCAGCAGAGCAAAACACCACTGGAAATGCAACCTCTGCTTTTCAACTATCTCTTGTAGTATCTCTAAACGTCAAACAAGTAAGAGATGGTAATAACCTCAGAGGAGAAGCAGGCATTTGAGTGTCGCCTGAACCCCGAGGTCATCTGCACAGCACTATTCCTCTTCTCTGTTTCCTTGTTTTTGTAAAAATCCTGAATAAATATCCACTAAACCAAATTCAACAGACTAATACTTAGGTTGCAATCTGAGTGTACAAAGAAAATACTGATTAATTTGAGTTAACACATCAGAATTCTTTTTTTTTTAATTGCAGATAATTTTCTAGAGAACTGATGAAAATTGTACTGTTACTATTTGGGGCAAATATCGCAATTTTATTTCAGTAATTTGCTCTGCCTTTAACTGTTATAGGGTATTTTTAAAGTCTCCAAACAGTTTTACTATCCATAAATAATAGTTTCTTAGAATGACAACAGTTGACTACTTGCACTATAAAAAAAAATTAGGTTTACCAAATTTGTTTTACCTTTTTTATGTAAGAAAAATTTTCAATACAAATTTCGCTTAAACCAACTCCAGCCTTTGGACTTCTCAAATTACGTAATCTAATTCAATTCCTTTTTTGCTTACACTCTTTTGAGGTGGGTTTCTGTTTATTGCTACCAAGTAGTGCTGAGTTGTAAATGATTCCACATTATGTTTTAGAACTAGCATACTTATATGAATATGAAGCTTCTTCCATATGTTACCAGAAAGATACAACATGCAAGAGATGCAAACTCAGCAGTACTGTAGACACTGAAACACATCATAAAGCTGTAAGAAACGCATACGTTTTTGTTGTCTTTGTTGTTGCTGCTGTTGTTTTATTTGGGGAGAAAATTTAGAAAAAGGAAGGCTTGAGTGAGTTGTATGTCATTGTAGTTCATTGGATAAGTGTTTGGATGTCCCTTTACTCTAATTTCAATTTCAACAAGAATCAATCAAGACTATCTTCTAGTCTTCTCAATGGGCCTACCTGCAAGATAACTACCTCATGCAAAAATATGGATTGATAGCCAAACAACTTTATAACACAAAATAATTGGCATTCTGGCTTTTGAGGTATTATATACTAAGTTTGGACATCAAAAGTCAGTTCCCCAATCCCATGGAAATTAAATCAGTTTGTCGAAGAGATGTCTGCATTCCCATATTTATTGCAGCACTATTCTAATAGCCATGGAAACAACTTAAGTGTCCATCAACAGATGAATGTATATATATTATGCATACCACACACAAACACACATACACACACACACACACATGCTGGAATACTATTCAGACTTATAAGAACAGGAAATTCTGTCATTTGCAACAACATAGATGAACCTAGAGGACATTATGCTAAGTGAAATAAGCCAGGCACAGTGAGACAAATACCATATAATCTCACTTATATGTGAAATTTTAAAAAGGACAAACTTGTAAAACTAGAAAGTAGAATGGTGGTTACCAGTGGCTGGAGGACGGAAAGGTGGACAGGGAAAGGGGGGACATTGGTTAATAGGTACAAAGTTTCAGTTAGAAAGGAGAAATAAGCTCTGGTGTACTATTGCACAGCACAGTGACTATAGTTAATAATAATGTTGCCTATTTCAAAATAGCTAAAAGAGAGGATTTCAAAAGTTCTTACTACAAAGAAATGATAAATATTTGAGGTGACAGATAATGAGCCTGATTTGATCATTCTACAATGTATACATGTATCAAAACATCACATTATACCCCATAAATATATACAATTATTGTCAATTACAAATAAAATAAAACAATTTTTTAAAAGTGAATGTCCAGTAACGTAACATGAATGAGGAAAAAAGGAACGCCATCTCTTACCTTACATTGTGAACACAAATATTTATTCAAGATGAATTGTACACCTCAACATAAAAGCTAAAATATATAACACTATTAAAATATAATATAACTTTTTTTAAAGATGGCTTTCTGACCTTGCAGTAGGCAAAGATTTCTTAGGATACAGAAAGCACTTACCATAAAAAAAAAAAAGAGACTTCATCAAAATTAAAAGCTTCCACTTATCCTAAGTCACCATTAAGAAAATGAATAGGCAAGCCAGAGTCTAGATGATACATATATCTGAATACTCTTGATAGCTGAAAATATTCTGATACACACAAATCCTAGATTATAGAAAACATGTCCTACAATTCAATAATAAACATGAACAAACAATTTTGTTTAATGGGCAAAAGACTCTGACAGGCATTTGACAAAGGAAAATTTATAAATGGCCAATAAGCATATGAAAAAGTATTATATATCATTAGTCAGCAGAAATATACAAATTAAAACCAAAGTGAGATACCATTTCATGCCCACAAAAGTGACTAAAATTAAAAAGACTAACATCATCACATATTGACAAGGACATGGAAAACCAGAACTCTCCTACATATATTGGTAGGAGTACAAAATGTTAAAACTACCTTGGGAAATTTTGGTAGTTTTTATAATTATAAACCTACACCCAAAGTATGGCTCAACACTCCTATTTATAAGGATTCACCCAAGACAATGGAAACCTACGTCTACCAAAAAAAAGTTGGACATAAATGTTTATGCTAGCTTTGCTTATAATAAGCAAAAGCAGGAACAACTCCAAATATATCAACTAGACAGCAGATAATTATGATATACAGTCAGCCCTCCATGTTCATGGGTTCCACATCTGTAGATTCAAAAACTGAAGATCAAAAATATTAGGGGAAAAAGAATAAAAGATAACACACAGAGATAAATAAATACAAATAGAAGTACACTATAACAACTGCTTACATAGCATTTACTTTGTACTAGTTATTATAAATAATTTATAGATGATTTAAAATAATAGGAGGATGGAACACTATGCCATTTTATATAAGGGACTTGAGCATCCACTGCTTTTGGTATGGAGAGGTTGTTCCTGGAACCAATCCCCCTGAGAGTACTGAGGGACAACTGCATTTGCCTAATAGAATATTACTCAGCAATTAAAAAGAATGGCAACCAGAAACAGGTTAATACCAATCATTTTCATCCGTTAGGTGTTAGTTTCCTTTTTAAGCTTTTTGAAAATTTATTTTTATTAATGTTATTTTTATTGGCAGTTATAATTGTACATATTTATGGAGAATATTGTGATATTTTGATATATGTATACAATGTGGAGTAATTAAATCAAATTAACATAACTGAGACCTCACATCATTTTTGTAGTGAGACATTTGAAATTTACTCTCTTAGTTGTTCTAAGATATACAGTACATTATTGTTGACTATAGTCACTCTGCTGTACAACAGATCTGAAAATTTATTCCTCTTGTTTTACTAAAATTTTAGTTAACTAAAATTTTGGTTAAATAAAACTCTTTTTTTTTGAGACAGGGTCTCACTCTGTTGCCCAGGTGGGAGTGCAGTGGTGCAATCACAGCTCACTGCACCTTTGACCTCCTGGCCTCAAGGGGTCCTCCCAGCTCAGCCTCCTGAGTAGCTGAGACTACAGGTGCCTGCCACTCCACCTGGCTAATTTTTTATTTTTAGCAGAGATGAGGTCTAAGTCTGTTGCATAGGCTGATCTCGAATTCCTGAACTCATGTGATCCTCTTGCCTTGGCCTCCCAAAGTTCTGGGATTACAGACAGGTATGAGCCACCACACCAGGCTTGAAACTCTTTATTGTTGTTGTTGTTGTTGTTGTTGTTGATTTGTTTTGTTTTGTTTTTGAGACAGGGTCTCACTCTACCACCCAGGCTGGAGTGCAGTGGTGCAATCTCAGCTCACTGTAGCCTCAACCTCCCAGGCTCAAGAGATTCTCCTACCTTAGCCTCCTGAGTACCTGGGACCATAGGTGCGCGTCACCATGCCCAGCTAAATTTTTTGTGTTTTTGGTAGAGACAGGGTTTCACCATGTTGCCCAGGCTAGTCTCAAACTCCTGAGCTCAAGTGATCCACCCACCTTGACCTCCCAACGTGCTGAGATTACAGGCATGAGCCACTGCTCCAGGTCCATTGAAACTCTTTTGAAGTATTTTCCAAAGATGTTGATTCTTGGTATTAGTTACAAAGAGTGATAGATTCCAACCTTCCACATATATTTTGGTGTGGATCTTACATACTCATTTCAATTATATTTATGTTATTTAAAAAATCTTTTAAGTCTATTCTATACACTTCAGGAAAATTACTTTTCTAAAATTTGATTATGCAATACAAGTTAGTTTAAAAACATCAGTACCTAAATATTTCCCATTCCCGGTTGGATAAAACCAAAACTCTTGGTCAGGTGTGGTGTCTCACACCTGTAATCCCAGCACTTTGGGAGGCTGAGGCGGGTGGATCACTCGAGGTCAGGATTTCCAGACCAGCTGTCCAACATGGTGAAACCCTGTCTCTACTAAAAATACAAAAATTAGTCCAGTGTGATGGCACATGCTTATAATCCCAGCTAATTGGGAGGCTGAGGTAGAAGGATTGCTTGAACCCAGAAGGCAGAGGTTGCCATGAGCCAAGATCACACCACTGCACTCCAGTTTGAGAGCCCTCCCCACCAAATAAATGTTTTCAATGAAAGGAGAAAGAAAAAAGAACAGATACATATTGGGATTATTATGTTTGTCAGGCACTGTTTATATGTATTCATACTCACCATATAAACTCCCATAAAAGTATCTACTTACTTTCATTTGGCACTTACCGTATTGTATTTTGTATTACTGTAACTTTGTGAATATGTAACATCTCACCTTGGCCAGGTAATCCCAACACTCTGGGAGGCCCAGGCAGGTGGATCACTTGAGGTAAGGAGTTTGAGACCAGCCTGGCCAACATGGCAAAACCCCGTCTCTACTAAAAATACAAAAATTAGCTGGGTGTGGTGGCACTTGCCTATAGTCCCAGCTACCTGGGAGGCTGAGGCAGGAGAATCGCTTGAACCCGGGAGGTGGAGGTTGCAGTGAACCGAGACTGCACCATTGCGCTCCAGCCTGGGCAACAGGGTGAGACTCTGTCTCAAAAAAAAAAAAAAAAAAAAAAAAAAAAAAAAAAAAATTCTCACCTTGTACTTGATTATGACTTAATCCTCTATTTCTCATTATCTCCCCTGAAAGTTCCTTTTCCATGTATAGCATATCATCTTATACATGGTAGGTGATCAGTTAACATTTATGGTTAATTATAATTATCTGCAGTTTACAATTCTTTTTTACAGTTATCAAAACTTTTTATTTCAAATATTATTATGGAGTGTTATGTTGTGATATATACAATATTAAAGCAGGTAACCTCTGTTACAATATCACATATTTGAACTTTGTATTTAGGTCTAAAAACACTTTAACTGCTTCAAACTCTTTTTCAAAGTGCTTTCAAATAAAACTGTATGTAATATAGAAGTCTGACTTGAATTTTGAATCTTATCAGTTCTATCAATCATAAGAGTTTTTGAAGGAAGAGTCTTAAATAAGTCAATGTAAGTTCTTATTTTCAAAAGCATGGAAATGTATTTAGTATCTTTTATATGCAAATCTATTTATTTAATGGCATGTGTGTAGTCTGAGATAGGACTAAAGATGTTTAGGAATATCTCTTGCTCTCCAATCAAGGAGATCTTCCTTACCTTATAAATACAAACTTTAGAACATTACATTTTCAGAATAAACTACTGAAACATGCAACAATACAGATGAATCTCGAAACATGCTGAGTGAGAAATAAGACAAAAAAGAGTATATACTATATATATATGTTTACATGAAGTTTCAGAACAGACAAAACTATTCTATGGAGATAGGAATCAGAGCTGTGTTTGTCTGTGATAGGAGGAGGCAAACAGTCAAGGACCATGTTGATAGCAAGAGGGAAATTTCTATAGTGATG
Organism: Homo sapiens; assembly: GCF_000001405.40. NCBI lineage: Eukaryota > Metazoa > Chordata > Mammalia > Primates > Hominidae > Homo > Homo sapiens. The sequence continues at coordinate 86,366,297 of NC_000004.12, forward strand.
AGAAGGTCCTACATCTTGATAGAGATGTGAGTTATATGGGTATATGCATTCGTCAAAACTCCTCAAAGTGTAATTCTTAAGATCTGTGCATTTCACTCTATGTAAATTAAACTGCCATAAAAAATGTTTAACTAAATTTCCTCTTGGGAAAGAGGAAAATTGCTGAATGAGCCAATAAGTTAGGGTTCCTAAACCTGAATATCTAGTCCCATACCCTGAATCTTGATTTTTCAGACCCAAGCAGCCACAGCAATAGGAAAGGCCAGAGTCACCAGGATGTTAAGAGACCTAACCCTCAGAGTGAGGCAGACAATTGATGGAGATTTACATAGCAATCAACAGATGAGAATTCAGACTCTTAAAAAACAGGTTTTCAGAAAAGCGTGGCAGTAAGGAGATTTCTGGGTTCAGCTGCAGGGACTAATTCAGTGCTAGGACTCGGATGCAGAAGGAAATGAAGGTGCTGAAGAACACTTTCTGAATCCAATTCTCAAGTGAATTAAGGGGGTAGCAGTGAAACCAACTAATGCCCTAAGGTCTCTTGTCAAAAGAGGTCCTGGAGTAGGGTGACCAATTGGTCTCCATTTGCCAGGTACTTCTCAGGTTCTAGCAGGCATTTCTCATGTTCTAACACTTAAAGTCCTACATCATAGGAAATCTCTCAATCCCAGGCAAACTGGAGAAGCTGGCCATCCTATCCTATAATCTAGAATAGACTTGAACCCTCAGATGGAAGTTGAGAGATAGCAACTGTGAAAGAACGAGTTGCAAAAGAAAGAAGTCATGAGTTCCTTAAAAGAGTGATGTCATTAAAGAAGTGTCACCTAGCTATACTTTCAACAGTTAGATTATTATGTCATGAATTAGGATGGTAGCAAGGGGATGGAAAGGGTTTGATAAAAAGCAAGCAAAATTAGCAAAATTATGGAACTGAATCAATAGAACATGCTGACTGATACAATATGAGGGGATGGTGGAGGGTCCACATTTACTCTTTGAGTACCATGTTCACTATGATTTCACAGAATGCCTTCCCTCAGAGTCAGTCATGTATCTTTCATGATACTATTAGAATATAAGATTTCCCCAAGTGTATTCTACTTGGGGAACAGTGGCTTTTTGCAAAAACTATTCCACAGTTCAAAAGTTTCAGAAATGCTGCATATAATAGCTGCCCTTTGGAAAGCCATGTTTTATTACACGTACTACAGTGAGCAGGTCTATGCAAACCTACCCTCAAAGGCCAAGGAAGCTGAGAGGCCAAAGAAAGAGGCTACCACATCCAGTTTCTCAGAAAGAAACATTTAATCCCTGTACCCTCACTTGAGAAAGTATTCTTATGTAGCAAGCATTTGTTTTTTTTTTTGTTTTGTTTTGTTTTTTTTGGTGAAACATGTGCAGCTAGTCCTGTGTCAGACTGTCTTGCAAAACTTGTGACCACTGGGGAAGTTAGATAAACATTTTTATGAGGGATTTTTCTATGCTATAGGCATTGTTTCTTGACCTTGCTGCAGGAACACAGAATCCAGTCGCCAAACATCAGTCATCATTGGCTACTATCCAGTAGCCAAACCCATCTTGGTTCTGCTTCAAGATGGCATTACTCTTGCCATGTGACAGGGTGTTTTCTATATTACATTAATAAATTAAAGGTGCTGAGAAGCCCTGAGGAAAAGAAAACTATTAAAATTTCTCAATATTACTTCTCAAATGCAGTTTTTAATTAATATCTTTTATCATGCTGTTGGAATGGGAAACACAGAGCCCACAGCTTACCATAGTCATAGTGATTGGCAATGCTGCGAATTTAAAACACTAACAGTTCCCAATAAGGGTAAACTTTCTGACCTTTAAACTTCATGTAAGAAAAGGGGTCTACCTTCCACTTACTTTTCTTTTTAACTAATAGACTTTATTTGTAGGGCAGCTTCAAGTTTACAGAAAAATTGAGCAGAAAAGTGTAGAGAATTCCCATATACCCTACTCCCTCCCCATAGTTTCCCCTATTATTAATATCTTGCACTCATGTGATACATTTGTTACAACTGATGAACCAATAATGATACATTATTAACTAAAATCCATGGTTTACATTAGGGTTCATTCTTTGCGTTGTGCATTTCTATGGGTTTTGACAAATGTATAGCATCATGTTGCAATCACTTTTAATTTTTTTCTTGCTCAGGAGTCAATTTTACATTCAGAAAACAATTGTGTTCACATCAAACAAAAGTAGATAAATTGGTCTCCTGAAAGTTCTTCCTAGTGGACAGAGCACTACTATTAGAATTCAACGGTACTTTGAACCAACTGTTATTAAGCTTATAAAAGTACGGGTTTGCTTTTGCTTTTGTTTTGGAATGGGAACCTCCCACAACTAGCAAAATTATGTCCCTTTGTGGTTAAACGTACTTTGATTCCAAATACAAAATATCTGCCACAATAAAAACAGTTCCACACAACTTTTCAGTATCCTAATAGCATTTTTTTTTTGAAAGTCTGAATGTAGTTCACAAATGATAACGGGGGGAGGGAAAGTCTATTGTAAAATAATATCAAAGAAGATTAAGCCTCCTCAGGTAGCAGCAGCTTAAAAAATCTAATTAGTGTATGTGTCTTTTGAACAATGATGCTAATAGAAAACGCCCTTTTCTTAGATCCCAGCAGAAGCTGGTGTGTGAGATAAAGAAAGTTATTCTTGCCAGACATCCTCAGGTTTACTCACACTTCAATCCATACACATCTGTAGCATTTCCAATTTCCCTTATCCTAGAAGCATGAAAAAAGCATGAAGATACCATGGACTACATTTGAGTTTGGTCTGGAAATTCAACTTCCCACTCTGCGGCAATTCCTGCAACCTTTAATGGGGCTATTCTCACCTCTGACCGTAATTTGTCAGCATGGTGCTCAAAAGGCAGTCACTGAGGTAGGCTAAGAAGCAAAATATGAGCCAAACATTGTGTAATTAAATTAAAATAAAAGTTTAATAATTTTTTATAAACAAGTCTGCCATCACTACTTGCTAAAAATTTCTAATATTAAAGAGCTTATTTTTAAACATTTATATGAGAAGACTTTTTCAATCATCTAACTAATTGGTGAATTCTGGGTCTGTCTTATCAAACAATAGTACAAGTAATAGTAATACATGATGATCGTATACAAACACTTAAAAGAGTAATAATCAGAATTAATAATATGAATTTGGTGTATTTAGTCTTACATTTTTAAGCCAAATACTTATCAGCATAAATTTATATGTGTAGCTTATGTCTGGTCTAAAAATCTGCTGGATTTTCAAATCATTAACAAAAAATATTTTCTTAGAGTATCCTAAACATGCTATTTCACCTATATTGCAATGCTACATTTGACAAGGAAACAGGAAAATAAAAATCTGATCTTGAAAATTGTCCAAATTCATGAAAATAGTGCAATGATAATAGTAGTTAAATTCAACATATGCTTTATATGAGTGCAAGATAATTAAAACATTTTTGAGATAATGCATAAATACTTTCAAAGCTTATTAGAAATATGTATAGGCCAGTCTGTGTGACCTGAGCAGATCGCATGGCCTCTTCATTTCCCAATTTAGGCACTGTCATAATAGGGATAATAATATTCACTTCACAGACTTTTCATGAGAAACAAATTAGATAATGTATGTGACAGTGCCTAGCACAACCCTTAGTAGATGACAGTCACTCAATAGATATTGAACATTCTGATTGCAATGAGAGATGTAACCCACACTTAGATTAAAATTTCCTGACATAACGTTGTAAGCTATGAACATTGTCCAATGGCCCAGAAGCATTAATTTTCTGTTGTTTGATAATGTTCTTAAAGTGTATATTCAAAAGGAGATACAGTTGATCATATGCTATTTGGAGGTGTTGAAGCAGCACTATAGAACTAATAATAAACTTGAAGAAATTTGAGCCTATCTGCCAGTCTACACCTGAGATACTATTCAGGACATCAGTGATTCTTACTGGAAATTTCCCAGATAAAATTCAGCCACTTTGTCAGCAAATATTCAGAGACATAGTCTTTCACAAGAAATAGATAACAAATTTAAAAAAAAAATAATTGAGCAAAAATAGTGTCACTGTTAGAGCTGTGTGACATTCTTTTCATTTAATTAAAAATTAATTCAACCAGCAAATCACTGAGTAGCATATCAGTATAAAACTCTATGCTAGAGATTAGAAAAAGAAATCTGAGAAATGGTCACCATCAAAAAGGAGTTTGTGATCTTATTGTTAGACTGGACCACTTGAAAGAAAAAATATCTATAAATGAATCCCTACACGTGAAACAAAAAAAAAATGAAGTCTCCTGTTTGAAAAGGAAAAACCTCAACACAGTCATGCAAGTAGAAAATATGGATCTCAAATCCTGTATTTACCTTGGGAAGAAGCATAGTCAAATAAAAATGGAAACCTTAGTCTCAGTTCCACTGTGACTATGACTACCCATCAGATGTTGGGCAGATAGTGGCTCTGTCGACATGTTTCTTCATCTACAATGTATCAGGTCTAGATCACATGATAATTATGGTTCTGTAACAAAATGGAAAAGAGAGTCTTCAGATGACTCAATGAACAGAATTTAGACAGAGATTTCATAAGAATAGACTTAAAAGTGACGGAAAACATATCTTGTTTGGATGAGAGTAAAGAGATCACTTTCCTAGTTAAAACAAGAAGGAAAGCAGTGGAATATCTTCAACTATATTGTCTTCTAGGCAAAATATACAAACCAAACATTTACATTGCAAATTAAAACATAAGGCAATGAGAATAGGATTCACTGCTAAAGTCAGTTCTGGCTTTTTGAGTCATTTAACAAATACTACCTTATGATAAGTCAAAGTCGCTATCATTTTTATCATTATTATCACAAATGTCATCATTAATATCATCATTATTTTAGCTATTATCTGTTGAAAGCATCCTCTGTGCCATCACTGGCTGATGATTTACAGACATTTGCTCTAGTCACACAGCATTTCTTGATGATTATCTCTAACATCTATCAACCATCCACAGTGTGCCTGGGCCCATGTTACAATACAATCCTCACTACTGTATCATAAGGTAGGTAGAGTTATTGTCCTTATTTTATATACAAGAAAACGGAGACTTAGAGAGAGTTTAAGTCATTTATTCAGGATCACAAATGACCGCCATGGGTCAGTATTGACATCTGTGCATATCTAACTGAAATTTCAACTTTCAGAGAGGTTAAGAAAAAAATGCGAGTGAACTCAATGATAAGGTGGCAAGATGGCCGAATAGGAACAGCTCTGGTCTGCAGCTCCCAGCGAGATCAATACAGCATGCAGGTGATTTCTGCATTTCCAACTGAGGTACCGGGCTCATCTCACTGGGATTGGTTACACAGTGGGTGCAGCCCACGGAGGGCAGACCAAAGCAGGGTGGGGCATCGCCTCACTTGGAAGCACAAGGGGTCAGGGAACTCTTTCCCATAGCCAAGAGAAGCCATAAGAGAACAAGAGAACATGCCATGAGGAACGGTGCATTCCAGCACAGATAATATGCTTTTCCCAGTCTTTTCAACCCACAGACCTACAAAGAGACTTAGACTCCCACACAATAATAGTGGGAGACTTTAACACCCCACTGTCAATATTAGACAGATCAATGAGACAGAAGGTTAACAAGAATATTCAGGACTTGAACTCAGCTCTGCACCAAGTGGACCTAATAGACATCTACAGAACTCTCCACCCCCAAATCAAAAGAATATACATTCTTCTCAGCACCACATGATACTTATTCTAAAACCAACCACATAATTGTAAGTAAAACACTCCTCAACAAATGCAAAAGAATGGAAATCATAACAAACAGTCTCTCAGACCACAGTGCAATCAAATTAGAACTCAGGATTAAGAAACTCACTCAAGGGCAGGCACAGTGGCTCACGCCAGTAATCCCAGCTCTTTGGGAAGCTGAGGTGGGCAGATCACGAGGTCAGGAGATCGAGACCATCTTAGTCAACATGGTGAAACCCTGTCTTTACTAAAATACAAAAAATTAGCTGGGCGTGGTGGTGTGTGCCTGTAAACCCAGCTACTTGGGAGGCTGAGGCAGAGGAATCTCTTGAACCCAGGAGGCGGAGGTTGCAGCGAGCTGAGATGACACCACTGCACTCCAGACTGGCGACAGAGTAAGACTCCATCTCAAACAAAAGAAAGAAAGAAAGAAAGAAAGAAAGAAAGAAAGAAAGAAAGAAAGAAAAGAAAAGAAAAGAAAAGAAAAGAAAAGGAAAGAAACTCACTCAAAACTTCACAACTACATGGAAACTGAACTACCTTCTCCTGAATGACTACTGGGTAAATAACAAAATTAAGGCAGAAATAAATAAGTTCTTTGAAACCAATGAGAACAAAGACACAACATACCAGAATCTCTGGGACACAGCTAAAGCAGTGTTTAGAGGGAAATTTATAGCACTAAATGCCCACATCAGAAGGTGGGAAAGATCTAAAACCAACACCCTAACATCACAATTAAAAGAACTAGAGAAGCAAGAGCAAACAAATTCAAAAGGTAGCAGATGACAAGAAATAACAGCTTTAAATTTCATGTGGAACCAAAAAAGAGTTCATATAGCCAAGACAATCCTAAGCAAAAAGAACAATGCTGGAGGCATCATGCTACCTGACTTCAAACTATACTACAAGGCTACAGTAACCAAAATGGCATGGTAGTGGTACCAAAACAGATATATAGACCAATGGAACAGAACAGAGGCCACAGAAATAATGCCACACATTTACAATCATCTGAGTTTCAACAAACCTCACAAAAATAAGCAAAGGGGAAAGGATTCCCTATTTAATAAACGACGTTGGGAAAACTGGCTAGCCATATGCAGAAAACTGAAACTGGACCCCTTCCTTACACCTTATACAAAAATTAACTCAAGATGGATTAAAGACTTAAACATAAGACCTAAAACCATAAAAACCTTAGAAGAAAACCTAGGCAATACCATTCAGGACATAGGCATGGACAAAGACTTCATGACTAAAACACCAAAAGCAATAGCAACAAAAACCAAAACTGACAAATGGGATCTAATTAAACTAAAGAGCTTCTGCACAGCAAAAGAAGCTATCATCAGAGTGAACAGGCAACCTACAGAATGGGAGACAATTTTTGCACTCTATCCATCTGACAAAGGACTAATATCCTGAATCTACAAGGAACTGAAACAAATTTACAAGAAAAAACAACCCCATCAAAAAGTGGGTGAAGGATATGAACAGATACTTCTCAAAAGAAGACATTTATGCAGCCAACAAACATATGAAAAAAAGTTCATCATCACTAGTCATTAGAGAAATGCAAATCAAAACCACAATGAGATACCATCTCAAGCCAGTTAGAATGGTGATCATGAGAAAGTCAGGAAACAACAGATGCTGGAGATGATGTGGAGAAATAGGAACGCTTTTCCACTGTTGATGGGAGTGTAAATTACTGCAACCATTGTGGAAGACAGTGTGGCGATTCCTCAAGGATCTAGAACCAGAAATACCATTTGACAGAGCAATCCCATTATTGAGTATATACCCAAAGGATTATAAATCATTCTACTATAAAGACACATGCACACGTATGTTTATTGCAGCACTGTTCACAACAGCAAAGACTTGGAACCAATCCAAATGACCATCAATAACAGACTGGATAAAGAAAATGTGGCACATATACACCATGGAATACTATGCAGCCAGAAAAAAAAGGATGAGCTCATGTCCTTTGCAGGGACATGGATGAAGCTGGAAACCATCATTCTCAGCAAACTAACACAGGAACAGAAAACCAAACACCGCATGTTCTCACTCATAAGTGGGAGTTGAACAATGAGAATACATGGACACAGGGAGGAGAATATCACACACCAGGGCCTGTTGGGGGTGGGGGACTAGGGGAGGGATAGCATTGGGAGAAATACCTAATGTAGATGATGGGTTGATGGGTACAACAAACCTCCATGGCACATGTATACCTATGTAACAAACCTGCACGTTCTGCACATGTATCCCAGAACTTAAAGCATAATAAAAAAAAAATTTTTAAAAAGATGTATCCCTCATTAGAAGGTCTTTGCACACACTCAGAACGGGAGCACTAAATCACTGTCCAATCATTATTGTCCTGTGTGGAGCCTATGGAAAGGTGGCAGTCAGAGCAGCTATGACCTTGTAAGCTGAAGCAGAGAAATCCCCAAAAAGAAAAGGCAGAAGAAGCCCTTCAAGGATGTGGCATACACAGCTTTTTAAAAATGTGACATGGCTGTGAACTGCTGAGAAACAGCAGCTAATAGGACACCTGATGTTCCGCTATAAGGAATGTGACTTCTCCTTTTTGAGCACAGGCTCTTTAGGCCAACCGTGAATTTAAGAGACAAATTCTGAGTTTCTTCAAATAGCTACAGTCCCTAAACTGAAATCCCCATTCATATACACAACGTAGAAGGAATATTGGTAGTAGTCTTTTCAAACACTGATGTACGCTCTGATTGAAGACGTCATCTATAGAAATGAAATACAATGATATTATGAATGCATGTGTACATGCACAAACAAGCACACGTGTTCATCCAGTTAACAAATATTCATTGAATTCATCTACTCTACATGATCAAGACAAAAACGTGTTCGGATATTGCTTCTGCTCTTTCATGGAGCTCAATGATTTTTAGACACAGACATGAATGATTATAATGCGAGGGATTTTTAAATTGCTAAATCATTACAGTGATGGGAATAAAGCAATGAATACTTGGAAAAAAGAGATTATTTCTATCTGGGGTGATCAGAGTGCTCAGAAATGTGTGCACACACACACATACACACACATATCATAGTCAGCAATATATTTTGTGAGAAATGTCTAGAAACGTACAAAAGGAACCAGCCAATGGTAATGAAGAGACTGTTAACCAAAGATCTACAATACAAATAGAAAAATGAGCCAGGTTACTCACTACCACAAGTAACACCAAGAACTTGCAAGAGCTTGCAGTGATGAATTTGGAATAGACAAACTAGAAGTGAAGTTCAACTACCAAAACTTATAAAAATTAAATGAAGGGCCAGGTGCAGTGGCTCACACCTGTAATCCCAGCACTTTGGGGTGCCAAGGCAGGTGGATAGCTTGAGCCCAAGAGTTCAAGACAAGTCTGGACAACATGGCAAAACCTCGTCTCTACAGAAAATATTAGCTGGGCATAGTGGCATGCACCTGTGGTCCCAGCTACTTGGAAGGTAGGGATGAGAGAATCACTTGAGCCCAGGAGGTCAAGGCTGCAGTGAGCCATGAGCATTCCACTGCACTCCAGCTAGGGTGACAGAGCAAGGTCCACTCTAAAAAAAAAAAAAAAAAAAAAAAAAAAAAATTAAATGGAAAGAAGATTCTGTTTCTAATAAATATAACAGTCAAATAGAAAACACTCTCTCAATCAATAAAGCAAGTACCTCCTTCCCTTATGTGTGAACCTCATACAACTTTCTGTAATGAACTCTGTGAACTCATTGTTATTCTAATGAAGTGGATATGTAAGTATAAATTAATTCTCTCAGTTCCACATGTTTAACACTAAATAACTGAGTGTCTACTAGGTGCAGGATTGTGCTATGGTCTTTAACATTTGTTTACCTATTCTGGGTATTATCTCATTCTACCATTAAATATTATTCACACTCAGTTTGTAGGAAAAATTGAGATATGCCAACTAAAACTTCAGCAATCTTTCAATAACATCACTTGCTTCTAACATAAAGGAAGGTATTCCATTTTTCCCCTTATTAGAGCATCTCAAGGCTTATCTTTGAGTTTAGTAAGGTACTACTAAATAATAAACAGCACTTATCTTTTCTTCTCCCCACTCAAAAGCTTGTCAGAATATATTCCAGAATATCAAAAACAAAACATAGCAAGCCTAAGTAAGTCCTTATTTTAGCTAAGTGAATAACATGCTGGTAATTCTGATTTTTAATAGATGGAAATGTACACATCATGAAATTAAGGCCAAAGACTAAGTAAACACTGTAAAACCCATAAAAAGTTTCCTAAAATCTGGAGACTCCAATTCACTATATTAAGACATCACAAGAAAGAAACTGTGAATTACAGATGGTTCAAAATTTTTGTCAAAATAACACATTTAAGTTGGTTGTTGAATAAAGGTTATGGTCTCTGCTTAGACTGAGAGCTTGCTGAAATTATGTCTCAGGCATAACATCCTCCCTAATAGTTAACATAGTGCTTGGTAGAAAAATAGGAAGAAACCATATTTATTAAGGACGTATATAATTAATCATATCCATTCTATGATAGTTGCCTAAGTTTTCCTAGCATTAGACATGAGAAACAACCATTCACTTTCCCAAAGCTAAATCGAGTCTCTTAAATAAATATTTTGAAGAAGAACACATTCTGACATGTCTTTTGAAACTAAAGAAAACAATTCAAATTCAATTTAACCTATTTCTACATTCCTAAATGAAACCACTAAAGAGAAATTTATTCCAGTCTAAACTTTGCAATCACAGAAGAAAAACCTCTGTGGGGAAGTCTCCCCATGGATCCCTCCTGGCCCTTGTTGGGCATCCCTGCTCCAGAGTAGCCCATCAGAGTCAGTGAAGCACAATGGCTTTACAAGCAGGCAGCCATTTCCAAGGCTGAGTGTGCAACATGTCATTCATAAGTAAAGCCCTCAGGCTCATCCAAATTCTACAGCAGCCAGTCATTCCCTGTGAGGTCGCTATCTTAAGGAGATTAAAGAAGTCTTTCATGAAGTCTTGCCAGTGCTTAAGATTGTCATTGTCTCATCAGATTAACACTAGCACTCTGATGTAAAAGACATCCAGGTTCTCTGTGGTTTAAGGCAATTCTTTTGCAGGAATCTCTGAGGATAGGTGGCCACAGCTATAGCAGCTTCCAGTACAGCTCTACTGCCCAACTACCAGAAGACCTGGAGTTCCAGAAGAAAAGGTGATTCTCATGATTCTCCAAGTGCTGCAGAGAAGCTGACCTGGCAATGATAATGGCACTTCTACTGTGCCTCTGCAGTCAGGAGTTTCCCAGTCCAGCTGCAGGCCTTGGTGAAGGAGAAGAGCCAGAAGGGCTGTATAATCTCAAATCTTACTTGGAGTGGGGAGTACCTCCCTCATTAGAGTGTAAGTTTCATGAGAGCAGGGACCTTTCTATTTATGTCTATATCCACCATACCCAGAAGAGTTCATAGTAAAAATTCAATACATTTTTGTTGAATCAAAGAATACTGAATGAATCGGTGAATCACTAAAGCAGTCAAGAATGAACAATATTAGGAATAAACATTTTTAAGTCTCTCAGCTTGTGCTCTTCCTCCTCTATAGTCTATTCTCAGAGCAGCTATATTAGTCAGGGTTCTCTAGAGGGACAGAACTAATGGAATATATATATTATATAGTCCGAGTTCCAAAATTAAAGAACTTGGAGTCCGATGTTCGAGGGCAGGAAGCATCCAGCACAAGAGAAAGATACAGGATGGGAGGCTAGGCCAGTCTCTCCTTTCACATTTTTCTGCCTGCTTATATTCTAGCTGCTCTGGCAGCTGATTAGATTGTGCCCACCCAGATTAAGGGTGGGTCTGCCTTTCCCAACCCACTGACTCAAATGTTAATCTCCTTGGCAACACTCTCACAGACACACCCAGGATCAATACTTTGTATCCTTCAATCCAATCAAGTTGACACTCAGTATTAACCATCACAGCAGCCATGTGATAACTTATATTACACCATGTCTCTTCCCTATGCAATACCCCACAATGGCTGACAACACACTGGGAATAAAATGTAAATTCCTTATCATAGCCTGCCAGGCCCCACATGCTCCAACTCCTAGCTCCTTCTCTCCCTCACTGGCCTCTTTGTAGTTTCTCAGACAAGTCAAGAATGCTTCCACCTCATGGCTTTTGCACTTGCTGATCCTCCTGTCTGCAACTCTCTTCCTTAACGTGTGCATTATTCACACTTCAGTTCATTCGGAACTCACTGAACTCTGGAGAGGACTTTTTGACAAGCCTGTCTAAAATAGTACCCCACATCACCTCTATCCCTTACTCACTGGCTGTTTTTCTTTACAGCAGTTACTCTTTTCGACATATTAAATGTTGATATGTTCATTTTCTGTCTCCCCCTCTAAAATGTGTGAGGATGAGGATGATATTTTGTTTATCAGTGGATCCTCAGCACCTGGGCAAATGCCCAAAATATACTAGAGTACATTATGTAAAAATTTGGTGAATGATTGAATGCAACAATCTTACAAATTTGCTCTGACATCCTTGAAAATTCCACAAAGCGAAGATATCATTCAGTCACTGAACAGTTATCTGGTACTGCTTTTGTACCTGGCACTGGATAGGCCTTGGGAGAGGCACGGGAGAGAGTCACATAAATCCCTCATGGACCCAGCCCTTAAGAAGACTAGGGCAGGCTTTAAACATGTTCCATGAATTGCTACAGGCAATATACAAACTGTAAAGAGAAATAAGGAGGAAACAGTTCTACCTGAGGGTGAGAAAGGCTTCATGGAAGAATTGAAATGTAGGCCTGAAATAACTTTCCATAAGGAAGTGGCGGCATATGCTCAAGGGAGCATGGAACAGTCTGGTGGGATGAGGTAAGGAAATGTAGGTAAGTATGGTCACAGCACAAAAAGCACAGGGCTCCAAGAGCAGCAGTGCATGTGTGGTGAGAGCTGAGGCTTCATGGGAAAGTGAGAAACTGATTATTGTTTATTTCCCATGTTAAGGATCTGGAACTTTATTCTGCAGCCCAACGAATCCTCCTTAAGTCCCGGCCTAGCAGGATCATTACTACTTTAAGGTCTGAAAGGGACGAAACGTCCATCTCCATCTGCGTGCATCACAACTTTACTACCAGCATTTCTATATTGTAGAAATCATTTTGCATGTGAATAATGCCTAAAAGGGAACACAAAAACAGGAAAACAATTTGATTCACTGGGAATTGGAGCTTTGGGGGTTTCCTTTTTGTTACTGAACTTCTTTTCTGTTGGGAATAGGCCCCCAAAATCTCGCCATAAACTGGCCCCAAAACTAGCCATAAACAAAATCTCTGCAGCACTGTGACATGTTTGTGATGGCCATGACGCCCACGCTGGAAGGTTGTGGGTTTACCGGAATGAGGGCAAGGAACACCTGGCCCACCCAGGGAGGAAAACCGCTTAAAGGCATTCTTAAACCACAAACAATAGAATGAGCCATCTGTGCCTTAAGGATGTGCTCCTGCTGCGGATAACTAGCCAGAGCTCATCCCTTTATTTCAGCCCATTCCTTTGTTTCCTGTAAGGAATACTTTTAGTTAATCTATAATCTATAGAAACAATGCTTATCACTGGCTTGCTGTCAATAAATACATGGGTAAATCTCTGTTCGAGGCTCTCAGCTCTGAAGGCTGTGAGACCCCTGATTTCCCACTCCACACCTCTATATTTTTGTGTGTGTGTCTTTAATTCCTCTAGCACCGCTGGGTTAGGGTATCCCTGACCGAGCTGGTCTTGCACTTTTCATTTCCTATTAAAACCTGGTTTTCGGCAGGGCGCAGTGGCTCATGCCTGTAATCCCAGCACTTTGGGAGGCTGAGAAGGGTGGATCACCTGAGGTCAGGAGTTTGAGACCAGCCTGGCCAAACATGGTGAAACCCCCTCTAAAAAAATTAGCCAGGCATGGTGGTGCCTATAATCCCAGCTACTCAGGAGGCTGAGGCAGGAGAATCACTTGAATCTGGGAGGCAGAGGTTGTGGTGGGCCAAGATTGCACCATTGCATTCCAGCCTGGGTGACAAGAGTGAAACTCTGTCTAAAAAAAGAACAAAAACAAACAAACAAAAAAAACCCCCCCAAAAAAACCTGTTTGTCTCAGCCTCTGTCATATGTTGGACTATGGTCTCCAGGTTTACAGTTGCCACCCTCTTTGCAGGTCTGATTTCCCTGACATCAGCACTCCTCTGGAGATACAGTTTCACAATTATTTGTTGACTTTGCTTGGAGTAATTAAGCCCTAAATTCTGCCTTTGCACAAGCCTTAACACAGTGAATAGGTCAATTATAGATAAGGACTGCCACTGACAAACAAGCTTTTCTGACCATTTTAGCCCTGAGCTTCAGGCCTTCTGGTTATCAGTTTTCCAATCACCAACCTTTAGGGCATTCATCTAGCCTACTTGTTTTCAATGTTTTTAAATAAAAACCTTTTTTCTTTTCCTCAAAACAATCTCACAGAGTCCAGTGTATAAAATCTGTAAAGCAATGTTTTATTAATGATAAATACATTATGCATGTTTACATTTGTACCATTCTTTTATAGTGAAAGTGAAGAATGAACACAATGTGGCTATTTGGATGAGCCAGACATTTTCAATCCTGACTTATGGGTGACAGTTGTGGTTCTGTCATTCCCAGAATAAAATTTGTTTCTGTACTTTTTGTTGGAAAGCATTAAAAAAAAAAAAAAAACACTGGATCTAGTTCATACATCCTGCATTTAAAAAAGAAAAAGAGAGACTGAGAGACCGAAGCAGAGCTGGGAACTGTCTAATAGACGCCTCATTTGTAACAACCCTCAGTAGGTTGAGGTTGCAAACTCATTGTTCTAGACTCTAGAGTCAGGAGCCAAATCCAGTTCAGTTCACAGTGCATGTGTTTTCATTAGTGTCACTGTTTAAAAATTGAAAATTTTCATGTAAGAATCTGGAGACTTGTCTTCTCTTGGAATCTTTGAGGATCTGGCAGTACTGGGGCCACATTCCAACCTGGTAATGGCTTTAGGCCTGAAAGAAGCTGTTTGCCCTTTCCAGATGGCCTTACACATGCATGCCTCCCCTTCACTACCCTCCTGGCCTTGTAACATGGAAGTTTGTGTTTCCCAAACTACAAGTCCAAAGGCAATGGGAGACACGTGTTTGCCTTCTCTCTGGCTCCATCAACCCTAATCCAAACCACCATCAGGCTCTCCACAGACTGCTGCAGTAACCTTCTAATATTCACACTGTAGGGCTGCTCTCCTTGTGCAGGTCCCGGGCCTATTTACCCTCAGATCCATCCTTGCCCTTCACTGACTCCTGGGACCTGCATTTTCAGACACTCATGTTAGCTGTCTCTCAACTGGCTTCAGCCAATGGAAGGCACTGCAGGATACTGGAAGGCAGGAGAAAGGAAGAAGCCAAGGTATTCGTGTCCCTGCCTCTCTGCCTTATGTGGTGTCTCTGGCAGGAGCAGTCTCTCTCCCCTGGCTCCGCTTGTGGAGTCCCCACACAGGCTGTCTTCTGCCAGAACACACTTGCATCACTCAGGGTCCCAACAAGAAACAGATGGCATAGTTTAAAAGGATAATTTGAGGTGCATTTATTTACACAGGGACGGTTTACAAACATGTGGGTATAGAGGAATCACAGTGGATAGTGCTTAACACTCCTAGACCCAACAAGGAGTGAGTCCAGAAGAGTCACCCGTTTTGTGAGGAGGGGGCACATTCAGGCAAGAGATGCAGTCAACTGAGGCTAACTCTATGGGGCAGGAATGGGAGAATAAAACCCTTGACATTGTTTTTCCTCCCTCCTCAGGGTTTCTCTACAGTGGCGCTATTGACATTCGGAGCCAATAATTCCTTGTATTGGGACAGGGCTATCCTGAGCACTGTAGAATGTTTAGCAAGAAGCATCCTGGCCTCTGTCAGCTAGATGCCTCCCAGTTATGACAATGAAAAATGTCTCCAGACTCTGCCAAATGTCCCTGGGGTGCAAAATAACCCCTAGGTGAGGACCACTGAGATACAACCACCTGCTGTAGTCCATTTAGATCAGCCTCAGAGCAGAGAGACGAATGGAGGGAGGTGGAAAGTGGATTCGGAGAGGCATAACTCCTTACCCCACACTGACCTGGCACTGACCCCCCACTCAGTCTTCAGACCTCAGGATTACCTGGAACCTTCTCAGAGCACCCTTGCCTGGCCAGCCCCACATGACTTGTTAAATTAAGCTTTTACTTATTATTCTAATTGTACCCTATTGCTTTCCCTCAGACCTTATCACAGTTTGTGATTATCTATTTTATGTGTCTGTTTATGTTTAATAGCTCTCTCACCTGTGGACCGAAAAGCATTTGCGGATATGGGCTGTGACTGCTTGTTCACCTAGATGCTAGCCCAGTGCCTGGCATAAAGTCGGAGCGCAATAAACACATGGTGTGTAACTAAATTAAGAATGAATGTATTCACTTGCAGCAACTATGGCAGTATATAGTCTTTGGGTTACTAACCAAAGATGGCCATACATTTCTTTGAGAGTATGATCTTTTTGATTCCCATCCTGCACCTCACATTCCTGTCATGGTGATTCTGCTGCTCATGAATGTTAGAGAACCTCTGTTTTTCTGTTTCTCAGTAGTGTCAGAGAGCCACTGTTTTAGTTCAACGTGACAGGCAGTGGAGTATTAAGAGCAGGGATCCAGAGACAAATCCTTGGGTTCACATCACTGCTTCTTCTACTCTTGACTTGCTGTGTGACCTTGAGTGAGCTGTCTAACCTCTCTTTATTTTCCTCATCAGTAGAATAAGAATAATGAAACTACATATCTCATAAAATTAGTACAAATAGTAAATTGAGTTAAGAATTTTTAAGCACTTAGAAGATCCTCATTCTGCATAGTGTAAGAACTATATAAGTAAATGTTAAATAAAATAAATGTTAAATAAAATAAATGTAATCTCAGGCAAACATTAGGCTTCCTTCCCATGAAGTCTTGTTCTTTTATTTCCCTTCCCTTTGGTGGCTATAAGACTGGAAAAGTCCAAGCTCTTTACAGTAAACTTCTCCCTAAGAGGTGTTGAGTATTTAGTCTAGACTATGCAGCCCACAAGCAGCAAATCCTTTAGCCCTTCAATGGTGCCTCTGGGCTGTGTGACTGGGGCAAGTTTATGTCAGGATCTGTCCGCCTGTTAAGCAAGCTTTCCACAGTCAAGGGTAGAATGTAACCTGTTCTACTCATTTACCCTTTGAGCTCTTCTTTTTCCATTTAGCATAGGATAAACAGGTAGCTAAACAATTTATGAACTAAACTTCCTTCCTGGTTTTTATTTTTATATTTTTCCATGGAGTATATTAATGCCAAAAATAAACCAGTTATTAATTTTATGTAGAATATGACCTAAGTATGAACCAGTGAAATAGTTATTGTACTTTTATATCACTTCAAGCTGAAATATTAACCAAAGGTATTCTAATTAAAACACCAAGACATGTCTTCAAAACATAGAAACTTGGCTTGTTTTCTAATAGAGAATAAAATAATATTTTCCTCTTTAATTTTATTTTATCCTTTAAGCTTACATTTGATAAAGGTAGAAAGTTTACTTTCTAAAAGAATTAAATACCATTTACAAAAAGAAAACTTAGGTAATCATATGTAGAGATAACAATTTACTTCACACACAATTGAAAGGCAAAAGGGCAAAATGTGTGACTAACATGCATATTAATTCTGAAGAATTAATGGCCTGATTTATCTTCTTTGATTAATTTTTAATCCTTCAAATCTCTTTGCTCTCATTCTTCGATCTCTCAGAAGACATATCATTTCTTTCATCCTACATTTCGAAGCCTAATAGACTAGTTTGTACTCAATAGTTTCTACAGAACATTTAAATATTACAAGTGTTGGAGAAACATAAAATCTCTCCTTACCTTTTACCGTGACTTCATTTATCTGGGCAATCTCCACAAATCTAGAAAGTAGCTTTGATGTTTTCATCAGACATTATTCATTTATAAACTTTAGAGTGCCATCTGTGTGCCAGGTGCTACACCAGGAACTGGAAAAACTGCAAGAACAAGTCCCTGCTATATAAGTTTTCAGGCACAAAATAAATTTAAATAAATTTAAACAGAAAGGTTTGTGTATTCAGGGCAAAGATAATAGCAAGTACAAGAACGCTGAGATGGGACAGAGTGTAGTGTACTCAAACAAACAGCAAGAAGGCCAGCGATGGATGGGAGAATGGTAGGAAGTGAGGCCCATAGGGTAGCCAGAAGGCTTGGTAAGGACTCCCCCGAACTTTATTCTATGTAGTGGGAAGCTATGAAGTGCGGAAAGCGAGCCTGATTTACACTAGGACCACTCTGGGAGCAGAAGGCATGTGCAGACTAGAGTCTAGGTGGAAACAGTGGAGGCAAGGACACAAATTAGGACATCAGCTGAGGCAAGAGATGATCATTACATTAGAGGAGGACAGCAGGGGCAGATAAAAAGAGAAGCGGCTGCACTCAGAATATGCTTTCAATGTGGAGACGACAGATTTGCCAACTGTAGGATTAGATGTACAAGCTGACAAAAGTGTTTTATTTATGATATTTCACAGAAATTATGACAACTCTGTTTGCAACATTTTAGTAGAGCAAGAAATTAAGTAGTACACAGCTATATTGAAAGAATACAACTAAAGTTTTAACAACTTTCATCTAAACTAGAGAGAAAAAGGAAAAAACAGATATAGTACATCTAAACAGATATGATACATTTAAATATAATATATCTAAACAGATATGATGCATTTAGATATATCTAAACAGATATGATACATTTAATTACACCTAAATTGTTTTCTTATATATATAATGCTCTTGGGCATAGCATTAGCATAGTAGGTTTATTGAGGATGTTAAAAGTACAGAAAACACTTTTTTTCATACTTTGCCCTTCATTTACCATTCCTTTACTACATATCTTTCTCAGTTTTAGAAAATAAAATAAATTTCAATGAAAATAAAATAAATAATTAATAAATAATAATATTGCCAATTTATTGACTAGCTACTGGGGAAAGAATTGGCAAATTCCTACTTGTTATTCAACTATTTTAGTTTACCAACCATTGCTGGTTATTTTTGCCAGTTAGCAATTTAACAACCATTGTTAATTTACCATTTAAAAGTTTAATGAGGCAAAACTTGGCATTAGAAATGGCATAACCTTTCCAAAGGAATTCTTTACATGTAGTGAAATTTCAAAAACACTCTGTGGTTGACTTTAACAGTGTTCTTTCTCTCATCTCACTGCTTTGCTAACATTTCTTATACATATTTCTTTTTCTTTAAAATATAAACTATGTAATCATTGGTCCTTTATAAATTAATCATATATCTTTAATATGAACTGATAAAGAATGGTTATTTCTGAACATCTATTTGGGTTCCACAAATCACTTCCCAAGAATTTTAAAATGAAGAAAACAAATCTGAGGTTTAAACTTGTAAAAATCCACACAGAATGAATACGATTAGCTCCCGGATGGGTAAATCAAAAGATTCCCTGTAGATGCAAAACCAAAGAATTTGGAACACCCAACACTCCATTAAAATTACCTGGGTATAATCTCTATGATGTCAGGCTGAAAATTGACTATAATTTAGTGAAGTGAAACAATTAATTGTATTGTGTCTAATGTAAACAAAGACTATGACTAGCAAGAAGGTGGTTAGACTATAGCACACATGCATACACACAGAAAGAAAACCCTAGTACTGTAGTATTTATCCAGTCTTAGCCAGGTAAAGAAAACTCTGTGACTCATAAAAAAAATTATTTAAAAGACATGCAATTTATCGTCCAAGATCTGCCCCCTGAAAGTACAATGTACAAAAGAATTGCATCCTTCTTCATCATTTCTAATTACGTGTTTAAAATGTGCCTTCTCCCACCTGATTACGAACTCCATTCGGAGGGAAATGGGGGGGAATCATGTCTACACAACACTACATCTCTAGTACATTCTGTTAGAAGAGAATTGCGATACTCCGCTCCTGGTTGACATTGGAGATACGATTCGCTAAGCATACTTCTAGCATCTCTCTGTCCATTTACTCACTCTTCCCTGGGGAAGAGAAGTGGAAGCTTGAGAAAAGTTAGCAGGAATGCTCAGGTGTACCATACTCCCTCTTGGGAGTTGCCTGCCCACAGCAGGAAGTATCTCCCTTCACCTCTAGAGCCTAAATCCCTGTGGAGAAAAGATCTGCCTGCCCTAGTCCAGGACTGCAGGGACCACATGGGTAGGTCTTCCTAATTCTGAGAGTTGGTTCATTGGTTCGCTTGGGTCTCTCATGAATCTATGACTCTAATCTTGATCTATAAATGATAGAGATGATATTTTGCTTCCATCTGCTTTTCAGAGTTTTTTTTTTCTTAAATTATTGAGATTCCAGGCACAGCAGGGGGAAAGGTCCTATTTACTGGCCCCCTTGAAACTCTAACACATAACACAATGTCTGATTCTCTGTAAATGCTTAGCAAATATTTCTTGAGCAACTGTAGAGATTAACACAAAAGGCTGATTCTACAAATTTAAGTTCTCTGCCCACAAAAAGCCTTAGTATACTACAGGCGGAAACTTGGAGGCTTACATCTTGGCCATCCAGTGCCCACTTTTCAGATAAAATAACAGAATGATCTGGGGCTCTGAGATCAAGATTGGGCTAGGATATCTTTGGAAACTGGGTCGAATGTGGAACATCATATGCCTCAAGACTGTGGTAGAGAGGCTGAGTAGGCTGTCTAAAAATACTATTCAATTTAAAGAGTGTACAGAAAGAAAAAAATCTGGGCAAGACACCAACAGGATAAAAATCAAGGAGATGGAAATGAGTAGTTAGAACAGAAGTCTATGGAAAAGACAAATTCTGGAGAAAAACGCTAATCTGGCTTGAAAATGGCTGCAGCATATTTTATTATGCACTTCATGGCTGGAAATGAAGCAGCCGGAGGGGCACAGGGAGCTGGTCACGTTACGGCTGGTTGTTTGGGGAAGTGGGCAATGATGATTGTCTCAGATAGGGAGGATGTCCTTCAAGCCCAAGAGCACAACGGAAGCACATTTTACTTGAATAAGAAAAATCATTGCCTGATTTAATTTTGCCAATGATTTTCTGCACTATTACTAAAATATACTCAGTAAAAACAGCCAACTATAAAACTCAAAATAATCAAGTTTTTACATTAAACAGGAAATTAGAGCTTCCTTTTATAATAAACAACTATTTAGGTTGTGCAAGGCATAATATTTATCAATTCACCCAGAATCTTGAATTATAAAACACATTTCCTGATGTTTATTTTTCCTCAACATCCAGGCTTGGACTGGAGCAAGTCCCTGACCACTTAACTCTTAATAGCTGACGCTGCCTCACCGCACCTCTATTCAATGTCTGTACATTATTCAAAAGAAGTGAAGGGAAAGCCTTGGTTGCCTTGGTTGTTTGGAAGCTATTATTTTCATTCTCCTTGTGTGGCAGAAGAAAAAAGACAGCAATGAAGGACCTGTCAATATGGAAAGAGTAAACTGAACTGACGTTTTTTTCAAGTAGTGAGTCTTTTTTCCAGGTTTTTTAGCCCTCCTCCTCCTATCAGTTGTTTATGTTTTAACTGGATCTATCTGGTGCTGATTTATATGAAATACTATTACTACTTGAGTATAACTAATGGCTTTAAGACAGTTACTTAGAGTAGCTAGAAAGTTGTCTCTTTAAAAACTATTTTAAAAATATATACAAAAGTATCCAGAAAAAATAATATATAATATTTATAAAAATATTTATCAAATATATAATAAAAATATAAAAAACAATAAAAGTACTAAACAAATGGGAGATTATCAATGTAAATTTAAGAAGTTGATAACTGTACTGTAATCGGGTTAGAAAATCCACACTGAATACTTAAAGAACCACAATCTGTGATGTAAGTTGTAATTTACTTCAAAAGGTTTAGGAAAAAAATGTGTGTGTGTGCATGTATGTGTCTGTGTGAGAGAGAGAGAGAATATATATAAAATATACACGTGGCTTACATAAAACTTTCCATGATATTACATGGCATTATATATTACTTATCGTTTGTCAGTAAACATTCATATATTTTATAGTTGTGACTAAGGATATAAAAATGTTTGAGTAGTAACTTATTTCATATAACTCTAAAATTAATAACTGAAAAATATTAATAACCAAGTACAGTAAATATAAAAGCAAACACAAGAAGAACCCAGCAGATACCTCAGTGTCAATTCAGTAATATGCCTAATCATACATAAGATGACTTTTATTTACTGCTCCTTATGGGAACTTGAGTTAAAAGGGCAAGAAACAAGTATCTGTAGCTTGCTGCTTCTAGAAATCCTGACCACTGGCTTGATGTCACAAAACCTTAGCTGACTTACTTTTGTACTTCACTGTTATTGTATAACAAGTTAATTCAAGGATGGCGATTGAATCCATGTAAAAATGACTATATCCAAATCACTTTATGTAACCTTAATATATAGCATAAACATACATATAAAAATCAATATTAATAAATAATAGAAATTATATCCATGATATTTGTTTCAAAAGGAAACACAGATGCATGAAATGTACTCAACACAATAGGTCATCTCTTATTTCTAGCTCAAAGAACACTGCCTACCACAAAGTGGCACATAATAAATATTTGTTAAGTGAATAAGCAAATGAATTAATAAATGAATAAAACAAAATAATATATGTAATGTTTTTAATGCAAAAACTGGCAGATAGCATTCAATATGTGATATGGTTCAGATTTGTGTCCCCACGCAAATCTCATGTCGAATGATAATCCCCAGTGTTGGAGGTGGGACCTGGTGGGAGATGATTGGATCATGGGGCTGGATCTCCCGCTTTGGTGCTGTTCTCCTGCTGGAGTTCTCACAAGATCTGGTTGTTTAAAAGTGTGTAGCAGCTCCCCCCACCCTCTTGCTCCTGCCCTGGTCATGTAAGATATGCTCACTCCCCCTTTGCCTTCCACCATGATTGTGAGTTTCCTAAGGCCTCCCCAGATGCAGATCCTGCCATGCTGCCCGTACAGCCTGCAGAACCATGAGCCAACTAAACCTATTTTCATTATAAATTACCCAGTCTCAGGTATTTTCTTATAGCAGTGCAAAAATGGATTAATACAATATGATCTTTGTAATAAACTTAATAATACTACTGTATAACATTTAACTTTGTCCTAGCCATCATGAGACAATAAATTAGTAATTCTCAATGAAAGGGAGCATGCCACACTCCCCTACGGGATAGTTTTTAGAGTTTATTGTTTATCTTCTGTTTTTTTGCCTTTACTGACTGTTACTGTGATTGGCGGTCCAACTATAAGTTGGGACCAAGGGGACTGGGTGTTGTGAAATGTGTAGTACAGCCCCACAGAATGAAGAATTGTCCTGTGTTTTGTGCAATTTTATAATATCCAACACATGACAAACCTTCACATTTTGTCATAGTTTTCATATATATCAAATTTTCTAGGATTCTGACTACTGTATAGTAGAGGAAATATTGTATGATGCTTTATTTTCTTTGTGGAGGTACTGGGAGTTAGTAAGAAGTTCAGAGTATGTTACTAAAAGCAGTATCACTTGTGGGATTTGAATTGCTAATATTTCAAACAGATGAGTCTGCATTTATAGCTGTTGAATTCATGTTGAAAGAACCTCCCTCTCTCTCTGCCCCCATCTATCCAACTACAAATACATTTATTTGTCGCTTGTTTTAAAATAATAATTATAGAGAAGAAGGATTGACCATCAACTAAATATTGCCTTTTCCTAAATCTAAATTTATTCATTCCAAGTAAGGACAAGCATCTGCCTCTTTCCTTTTCTTTTCCAGTGGAGCCATGCTGAGTATTTAAATACTGAAATGCATATCATTTTACTACATACATAAAATTTTATTTCTCTCTTATTTCACAGTTTAGGTATTATATTGATTCTTTAAAATCATATATGCAGGTAGATTGTATTTCTATGAGTTTTATTCAATGGTAGAAAAGGAAGATGATAAAAAGATATTATTTAAAAAGTCTATTGGGTTGGATAGGATTGAAAACTACTGCACTTGATCCTATGAGATGCCAAAATAAAAGGCAGAATTTTCAAAACAGCTTTGCAACACTTTTGACACCTTAGAATGTAGAGAAAGAAGAGAATTGATGAGAACTATAGTTCCATACCCTCCCCTTCCCCCAAGCAACTTGGGCAGGATGCTACCTCTACTTTGAGCTAGGGTAGGGGCTTCCATGAGAGCACTTAGAAAGCTTCAAATATGTTTTCTGCAGTTGGAGACATGTGTGCCTTCCTCAAGTCTGAGAAAGCTAAAGGAGCTAGAAGAGACTGCCAGCAAGATAGAGGTGCCTATGTTTTGATTGACTGGCACTTTGAGAGTTGTTGAGGATAATAGATACATGCCCAGATATGGGTACAAGAGAGAGGGAACCCACACATCACCCTTTTATGTCCAACTTAGCCTATAGGATTTCCTAGGAGGACAGTACACATCCAATCGTGAAGGTCTGTGTGGAGTGGATCATGAATGCTAAGGGCTTGTGGGAAGGTGCTGAGCTTTAAGCCCAAAGCAATATATTTGCTCTTGTCAAAGAAGCTATCAATCTTCTGTCCATGTAGATATTATCTCTGGTATCTTACTAGGCTTGACTCTTTGAGAGATTAGCTCTCAGAGCCTGTGCCACATAATTGCTATCTGAGAAGTTTCATTACTTTATCTGTTTGCATTACCAGTGCAACCTTTTTAAAAATGTTAGAATATTGTTTAGGAAAGATCCTTTTATTTTCTCCATATTTGTACTCATTTTCAGATATGAAAGCTACACAAAAATCAGTTATGAAATTGAGGAAGATGAAACTAAAGATGCATCATTTACATTCAATCCTAGTTGTATATTTAACAGCTTCTTCTGTAAGCACAGGTTTAGTACATAAAATTATATTTGAAGTTCTCAAATTTGCATGTTACCAGAATGCAAGCCTCTGTAAGTATTATCATAGATCACCACTCCAATCAGAGTAAAAAGCTTTCCTTGAAAATTTTTTCTTTAAGATTAGAGCAAATGGAAACAAAATCCTTTAATACTTTAGATTTTTACCTTGTGGTCATACAAGTCAGAGTAGTTCAGTCTTGTCATATCATGCATGTATCTACATGCAACGTTTTTAACTGTACCATGATTGAAGAATAATAGAACCATCAATTCTAAGCATTCATGAATTTTTTGTCACTCCATATCAAGCCAAGTGTGGAGTGGAAAATGAATCAGAGACCTGATT
Source organism: Homo sapiens (assembly GCF_000001405.40). Lineage (NCBI taxonomy): Eukaryota > Metazoa > Chordata > Mammalia > Primates > Hominidae > Homo > Homo sapiens. Next base: position 86,391,551 of record NC_000004.12, read on the forward strand.
CTATGGCATATAGAGACAAGGGGCAGCATACCTCGCCAGGCAGTGAGCTCTCTATCTCTGGGGACACTCAAGTGAAGGCAAGAATCCTTCATCTAGGACATGAAATTCCTGCATTGACTCTGAGATTACACAGATAAAGCTAATAATTCATATGCAACAAGACAGATATCACTTGTTAGCATGAGGAGGGGAGGTTGGATCCTGCAGAGAAATAGTACTAAAACAAGTGACGTGAACCATTGTCTTTTGATTACCCAGCATGCATTCACACTTACTTCCTTCCAGGACAAATAGCCCTTTCACATTCTCAGGCCAATTGCTTCAAGTAAAATTATCTCTACCTTAGGGATCCAGGATTGAAGCCCACCACAGGTTTAGCAGTACATTCCCTTCCCTGGCCACAGTGGCAATTTCAGGATTGAGTATTAGACCTATAAGTCAGGCTAATCAGGACCAATAAGCTCAATTCTAAAATTCCCTCTGCAGCAGGCTGGAAGTGGAGTATCTCTTACACTGGATCGGGTGTTATCATGCTGTGAGCCTGGAACTCTGCAAGGACAGCTGGCAGAGTCAGAAAATGAAGCCTATCAAGAGGATTCAGCGTATGGCCAGGCGCAGTGGCTCACACCTGTAATCCCAGCACTTTGGGAGGCCAAGGCAGGCGGATCGCCTGAGGTCAGGAGTTCGACACCAGCCTGGCCAATGTGGTGAAACTCCATCTCTACTAAAAATACAAAAATTAGCTGGTCACGCTGGCGCACACCTGTAGTCCCAGCTATTCAGGAGGCTGAAGCAGGAGAATCGCTTGAGCCCAGGAGGTGGAGGTTGTTGCAGTGAGCCGAAATCACACCATTGCACTCTAGCCTGGGCGACAGAGTGAAACTGTCTCAAAAAAAAAAAAAAAAAGAGGATTCAGAGTAGAAAAATAGCGGACTCTGAGTTCTGAACCAAGACACACCTGTTCAGTTACATAAGCCATCACAGTACTTTTTCCCTTTTTACTAAGCTATTTTGAGTTGTATCTTTTCTAACCTGCCTGTTCCGGCAAACAAAAAAGAAAAAAAAAAGGAGCAGACTAGCAGATCAAGTGGAGATTATAGTGTTCCATTCTATCCTCAGTACTAAGGATAGTGTCAGATACATAAAAGGTGCTCAATAAATACTTGCTGAATGACTGAAAAAAATGCTGCAAGCAGCAGGAAGAGCCAAGATGGCTTGGAAAAGGAGAGGGATAAGGAGGAAGTGGCTGGTGACTGTGTGTTGGTGAGGAGACTGCGTAGGAGTACAGGAGAGATTTTTAGCAGCTGTTATGAGTGCAAGACTTTGGGGAGATGGAGAGAGGTATAAAGAGAACTGTTAGGAAGTTTGCTCTATGATAAGCTGCATATAGTTTTCCTTACAGAAGGAAATATAACCTAAAATTCTATATATTATTCTTCAAGGCTTCTGGAGTCATACTTATGTCCTTGAATGTAACTTCTTGCAGAGGCTGGCTTTGAGGCAGAGCACACTTGCCAGATTTAATGAGGATTATACAAATGCATCTAAATGCTTTATGTGGAGATCAAATTTAAATGTATTGATAAAAACAGGCATATCTTGACTTGTCCTCAAGAGAAAAAATAAAAGGAACGGTTTTTACCCCCAAGCATAACTTCAATTAGAAGGTTAAGATGCATATCCAGTATAGCATGTTGATATTTATTTCAACAAATTCAACTCAATTTTTGGCCATCTAAGTTCTTTTCTTGCAATTTCCACTTCTATATCAAATCAATGATCTAGTTTTTTTTTTTTTAAGGAAAATAACTATTGTAAACAAAAAGAAAAAGTCTATTAAAGAATCAAGAAACTTGATTATACATTGACAGTCCTTCCATTTTTTAATAAATCTAGAAAAATATTCATGTTTACTTGTAACTCAATGTTTGTGATCAAAAATAAAGCAATGTTTCTAATGGAACCATTACCAGGCAAGCATTGACAAACTGAATATTTTACATACTGCCACTACAGCTTTGTGGCACTAAACTACAATGTTTTTTCTGAAGAAATCAAGTAATATTTTTAGCTTTTTTTAAAAAGACAATTCTATGTTGTGATGCTAACCAGAGCATCCTTTATTTAAATTCTGGTGAGGTACTGTCACTATATCTGTGGGTAAAGGGTACTTAGTAGAATAATAAAAAATGAAAGCAAGCTTGAAAGTCTCTCCACGACACCAGTGACAACAATAGAGACCTGACTTGAAGTTCCACAGTAACTCTCTCCCTGACCTTGAGTGTCTTCTTCACCTTCTGCATGTCTCACTAAATCACATAAGGTGAAGTACCTCTTTAAGAGTATTAAAGACCTACTCTGTTATTGCAACATTAAGAGCATAACACTTAAACACATTGGTGAAGAAAGAGAACATCAGATGACTAATAAGAAATAGGGGCTGGGCGTGGTGGCTCAAACTTGTAATCCCAGCACTTTGGGAGGCCGAGGTAGGCGGATCACCTGAGGTCAGGAGTTCAAGACCAGCCTGGCCAACATAGTGAAACCCCATCTTTACTAAAAACACAAATTAGCCAGGCTTGGTGGCATGCACCTGTAATCCCAGCTACTTGGGAGGCTGAGGCAGGAGAATTGCTTGAACCCAGGAGGCAGAGGTTGCAGTGAGCCCAGATCGCGCCATTGCACTCCAGCCTGGGCAACACAGCAAGACTCCATTTCAAAAAAAAAAGAAAGAAAGAAAGAAAGAAGAATTGATAATACTCAAACTTATTCCTCTTGAGCAAATAAAAATATGTCATACTTGACTTACCAATATTTCAGAATGAAAGCTATTGTCAGTGATTTTTTAGAGAGACTATATCACCAAACTACATATCAAAACTGAGAAAACATATATATCTTGAAAATAAAATAATTATTTACCCTTTGTTTAAATTAATTTTTGTTAGCTCCAAATTGTTTTTTGCTACAAATAATATTTAAAATAATTTTTAATTATTAACAGTGGTATGGGATTTTTTTCAGCTGAGAAACATTTATTTAATAGGTTTAAGGAGAAGAAGAAGATAAAGTTCACTTGGAAACCTGAAAACTCGGAAGATACAATGACTCGTGGAAAGGGATGTCAGGGAAAATACCATAAATGACAGACATTTTAGCATGCTTTCTATCTTGAGTAGGATCTCATTTATTTTAAAAAGTGAAGTGAGATTTGGATCTACAATGACAGAGTTTTCCAAACGTTAGCAAATCTTGGCTCATATAGGGAACAATGTTTGCACTATGCTCGGGGATAATGGATGAGGTTGCTCCTAGCTGAAGTGACAGCCAAAGGTTCTGGGCCACCCCCTGGCAAAACTCAGCTGCTCTAGCGGCTGAGGGTATCAATATATTCACGCACCTGTGCCCATTCTTTCACCATCTGTGGGGAAACGTTGCTCTCCAAAATAAAAAGGCATGTAAATCTTCCACCACTTCTGGGAAACAGCTCCATGTACACTCATTCACAGTATTGAGTCAATAAAAACCCCAGTATGTCATTGCAGCCTTCAATATTCCATAAAGCTATTTGGGGCCAAAGGGTACTATAAGCTCAGACTTGCATACAAAAGCAAAGGATGTTACCTTTGTTTTATAATCATACCAAAAAAGAAGGTATCATTAATATTATAGCTAAGGTCAAAATTCATATTTATTGGTTACTATTTAGTGTATATAAAAATTCAACTGCCTTATATTTGGACAACTAACCAAAATTAATCTCTAGCTATAAAATAAACATTTTCTCCTTATAATTCCTATTTTTTAGCTAGCCATTTTGATTAATGTGTTAGCTAACATGTGTCAACATTTTCTAAAATCATGCTTTCATGTAGCATCTAAGAATTAAGAAATATTAATATCAAAAATGCCAAGAGGAGCAAAAGAATGCATGATGTAACTGAATCATTATAATAAAATGGTTCAGCAATCAATCACCAGGTATTGATAGTTTTTGGGGCGGAGGGAGTTGTGGCTGGAGTGAGGAGAGGTTGCCAGGGGAGTGGAGATAATCCTACACAATGTCTTGGTCAGCCTGGGCTGCTATAACAGAATATTATAGACTGGTGGCTTAAAGGAGAGATATTCATTTCTCAAAGTTCTAGAAGCTGCAGAGCCCAAGATCAAGGTGCTGGCAGATTTCATTACTGGTGAGGGTTCTCTTCCTGGCTTGCAGAGGGCTGCTTCCCACTGTGTTCTCAAAGGGCAGAGAAAGGAAGCCCTGGTGTCTCTTCCTCATCCTGTATGAGCACTAGTCCCATCATGGGGGCTCCACCCTTATGGCCTCATCTAAACTTAATGATCTCCCAAGGGCCCTGCCTCCTAAGGCACACTTTGGGGATTAATGTTTCAACATACGAATTTTGGGAAGACACAAGCATTCGGTTTGTACCACATAAAACACACCATTCTCGCCATTCTATCTGTGCAGGCAGGAGCCTTTTTTACGTGAACCTAAGAAAGTAGTGTTTCCGGCCGGGCGAGGTGGCTCACGCCTGTAATCCCAGCACTTTGGGAGGCCGAGGCGGGTGGATCACCTGAGGCCAGGAGATCGAGACCATCCTGGCTAACATGGTGAAAGCCCGTCTCTACTAAAAATACAAAAAATTAGCCAGGCCTGGTGGCGGGCGCCTGTAGTCTCAGCTACTCGGGAGGCTGAGGCAGGAGAATGGCGCGAACCCAGGAGGCGGAGCTTGCAGTGAGCCGAGATCGTGCCACTGCACTCCAGCCTGGGCAAGAGTGCGAGACTCTGTCTCAAAAAAAAGAAAGAAAGTAGCGTTTCCAACAGAGAAGACCTAAAGCTCTTCCACCCAATACCATAGCCACTAGCCACAGGTGGCTGTTGAGCACTTCAAATGGGGATAGTCCAAATTGAGATAAACTATGTGTAAAATACACTCTGTATTTTCAGAACTTAGTACCAAAAAAATGTAAACTAGCATATTATATTAGGCCATTCTTGCATTACTATAAGGAAATACTTGAGACTGAGTAATTTATAAAGAAAAGAGATTTAATTGGCTCACAGTTCTGCAGGCTGTACAGAAACATGGCGCCAGCATCTGCTCCGCTTCTGGGAAGGAGCTTTTATTCATGAGAGAAGGCGAAACGGGAACAGGTATGTCACATAGCAAATGCTGGAGCAAGGGGTGGGGGGTGCCACATAATTTTAAACAACACACTATTGTGAGAACAGCACCAAGTCATGAGGGATCCACTCTCATGACCTAAACACCTCCTACTAAGCCCACCGTCAACACGGGAATAACATTTCAACATGAGATGTGAGCAAACTATAACACTTACTAGTAATTTTTATATTGATTTCATATTAAAATTATTACAGTTTGAGTTAAGTGTACACACTACTAAAATTAATTTCACCTATTTACTTTTTAATGTGGTTACTAGAAATTAAAATTACATATGTGGTTCACCTTGTGGCCCACATTATATTTTTATGGGACAGTGCTACCAGCCTAGAGCATGAACAGAATGAGGTAGAAAAAAAAAGATGAACACATAATAGAAAGAGAAGATGCTCTGGAAACAGATCAGGAAAGAAATATTTTTATTAAGCACATCTAAAATATTTATTGATTCCTCAGTGAGAAGAAATTATAAATTAAGAAGCACCCTGTGTGGTTGGTCTAACTTATTGAGAACCTGCGTCAGGTTCTCAATCTATGAGGTGAATTTAGTCATTCTTAATGAAACCTTTATATTGTTACCTTTATCAATTTCTCCTTCAAGTGTGTTACAGATAGATGGATATCTCTACTCCATGGAGTCTGACTATTGCAAAAGATTCTGGTGAAGAAAATGTGGCCACATTACAACTACATATTTCATGTAGTATTGCCAAGGGATAGAGAGTACTTTAAGACAGATGGTTAAATATCCCATTTTAAAGATTTCCAAACATCTTTGAAGAAGAGAGAAATGGTTGTTGGCATCTTTGCCCTTCTCAAAGCATTGAGAACTCCCAGGAGTGCTTGTTAACTTCCCCTGGGCTTCCGGGTGTGAGATCCCTTCTTTCCCCACTGATTGACTCCACCTACCATTTCCTCCCTGGGCAATACCCTTGTTCTTGCACCTATCATTCTGCCTTTTTCTGTATGTTAATAGGTATTTATTTGACCCTTAGCCTTTGCACTCAATCTATTCAAATTTATTCTGATATCCAATGATAAGGAAAGATGGAACTAGTTTGTGATTTCAGTTTTCCAAATGAATTTCCCAGATCATTACGTAAGCTCTGAATCTGCTATGGCAAAAAAAAAAAAAAAAAAAAAAAAAACTGGCTTTTTCTCTGTTCCAATCAATTGCCATGTAGAAAATATGATTCTTTTTTAAGAAGTGGGTACAGAGAACTCGTAACATGCAATACTCTGAAACTTTTGAACTACCTACTTTCCACTCTATCTGTATCCCAAACTATCACGACTCCTAACACTAGTCTTCAACTCAGTTCTGGGGAGATAGAGGGTGAGAAGAGACAGGCGCACAGGCAGGCAGACAGACAGACCACACAACAAAAACTTTGTTCTTCAGGTAATGAAGAAACACTAAAATTTAATTTTGGGTAAAAATGCCCATAATTAGTATTTCTAAAGATTCTCAAAAACAAACAAACAAAAAAAAAAAGAAAAGAAAAGAAAAGAAAAAAGGCCCAAGGATCTGGTAGATAATTATCACTAAGTATTTATTTTAGGTCAGATGCTACTTTCAGGGTTCTAAGGGAACCAACTCATTTGCATTCATAACAACTCTATGCTAGATAGTATTATTATCAAAGTCCTCTTTAAAATGACTGAAACTGAAACCCACAAAGTAAAATTCCTTTTCTGCAGTCAGGCTGCTAGTAAATAACAGAGCTGAGACCAAACCCAAATATTATGTCTGCAGAGTCCATGCACTGCCCTGCCTCTCTTAAGGATGAATTCAAGTCAAAAGATTCTTACTTACCGCACATTTTTCTTACAATATTAATGTACCTTGTTATTTTTCTTAATAATTTAGACTTTTATTTTAGATTCAGGTGGTACATGTGCAGGTTTGTTACAGGGGTACATTGCGTGATGCTGAAATTTAGGGTAAAATTGATCCTGTCACCCAGGTAGTGAGCACAGCACCCAATAGTTAGTTTTACAACCCTTGCGTCCCTCTCTTCCTCCCTGACAGTAGTCCCCAGTGTCTATTGCTACCATCTTTATGTCTATAAGTACCCAATATTTAGCTCCCATTTATGAGTGAGAATATGCAGCATTTAGTTTTCTGTTCCTACATTAATTCACTTAGGATAATGGCCTCCAGTACATCCATTTTGTTGCAAAGGACATGACTTTGTTCTTTTTTATGGCTACATAGTATTCCATGGTGCATAGGTACCACATTTTCATTATCCAGTCCACCGATGCTGGGCACCTGGGTTGATTCTGTCTTTGCTATTGTGGATACTGCTGCAACGAACACACACATGCGTATGTCTTTTTGGTAGAAAAATTTCTTTTCTTTTGGATACATATCCAGTAATGGGATTGCTGGGTTAAATAGTAGTTCTGTTTTCAGTTCTTTGAGAAATCTCTAAACCGTTTTCCACAGTGGCTGAACTAATTTACATTCCCACCTACAGTGTATAAGCATTCCCTTTCCTCCACAGCCTCGCCAACATCTGTTGATTTTGAGTCTTTAATAAAAGCTGTTCTGACTGGTGTGAGATGGTACTTCATTATGGTTTTGATTTTCATTTCTCTGATGACTAATGATGTTGAGCTTATTTTCATATGTTTCTCAGCCACTTGTATGTCTTCTTTTGAAAAGTAACTGCTTATGTCTTTTGCCCACTTTTTAGTAGGGTTATTTGTTTTTTGTTTGTCAAGTTCTTATAGATTCTGGATATTAGAATATTTTCTCCCATTCTGTAGGTTGTCTGTTTATTCTGTTGATCTTTCTTTTGCTGTGCAGAAGCTGTCTACTTTTATATTATGACCATTTTGAGGGCAAGAATTGCAGCTATAATCTACACCCAATGTGACTTTATCAACTGGTTCATGCAACAAACTCACTACTGAGCACCTAATGTGCATCTGGCACTCTTAACAGGCACTGGGAATACAAGATGAGCAAGAAAACCTCTGATATTAATATCCTTACCACTGAGGTGGTTCATTAGTGGAACAATAATGTGGCAAATGCTGTCCTAGTGGTTTGAACCTAGTGCAAGGAGAACATAGAGGAGGAAACAGTTAGTAATTCTGCTTAGCAATATTAGAAAAGAATGAAAACTTGATAATGACTAAAAATACATTTATTTTAAGTTTTCTATAATAGACATAGAATTATCTACTTCCTATAGAAAAATTCCCTTACATGAGATATAAATTGGTATGGGAAACCATTACCTTGAAAACATGATGCCGCTGAAGCTTTCTTTTGTGGTATATGTTGCTAATACATACAAATATAAATTACACATTTATCATGCAGATATACAAATATATTTTTCACATTTTATGGTCATATCACATATAAAGTTCCTGCTAAACTATCATTATTTTGCTACTGCATTAGAACTTTTAATGATATGTCTTAGGGTTAGACAAGTTTCTGACAAAAGCTCACCTCTTCTCTGACATTACATGCTGATTATTTTTTCTCTTAATTACTGAGTGTTATTGCTCTTCCACTGATGCATTTCTTTCCCACACCCATGTTTATACATTTCTCAAGATAAAGTGTCGTATTACAAGGAAGCCAACATCTTTCAAACCCTGAGAACATTACTATAGTGACGTACATGGGATCGTAATGATTTTTCTGGTTCCTCTCTCTCTTTCTCTCTCTCCCTCTCTCTCTCTTTCTCTCTCTCTCTCCACGTAATGGGGAGTTTTAATTTATTTGGAATGGTAAGTTACCAGAAAGACATGACAGAAGAATAAAAAAATGCCTTTTAGTTCCAAAGCCCAGTTTAGTGCACTCAAACCAGGATATTGTTGATAGCTAACTTGTTTTCTATAATAAATGTACTTGAATCAATTTACATCTTTCACAAAAATAAAACATCAAAACAAGCTTTATAATTCTATAAGATGTTACTTGACATATAACAGACGCTGCCCTCTGAAAGAAGGGTTCAATATTGGTTTAACTCCCTTGCAGTTTTTTGGAAGTCAATTACTTCTAATTCAATGACATCCTAACGGCAAAAGTTCAAAGGCTTAATTATGAGATCTACTGATAAAATATAATTATTCAGTGAAATACAAGTATGCCATTATTCTTTTATTTTTAAAAGAATTTTATTAAATCCAAAAATACAAGAAGATTTTTATTGTGTGCTTACATAAACATGGAAAGTAAAAATAAATGACAAAATCAAATGTGGGTCACGAGGTCAATTTTCTCAGTTAATAAATTGTAACTTAAAAAATTACAAATTAGTGGTCTTAGTATATCTAACTACATGCATTATAAGTGGAACTTTTATTTTCCACTTGCCTCTGTTCCTTTAACAGGATTAAAAATATATTGAAAGCAATGTACTACAGGAAAATAACTAAATTTTGAGTCAAAACACAATTTGATGGGTACAAAATGCTGAAGTGTCCAAGGAGTTTATCACTGGACTCCTGTATATAGAATATATTCTGTTCTACGTTAGAACAGAAACACAAGATGTGATATATTTCTATTTCCTTTATGTATACAAATGATGTGGTATACAAGTAGGCATCAGCAATAATGGTTTGAACCTCATTATTCTATCCTCTACTAGGATTAGCTTTTGCTGATTTGCACTTTAGATTCTTCGCTTCCATTGAAAAGCAATGTAGGAAATTGTGTTAAAAATTACAATTGGTAGAAAGATGTTCTTGAGATAACTAAAAGCACTGTATACAAACTGCCACAAGATAAATTTCTTACATATCTTAAAGTCAGAAAAGCTTTACTTCCCATTAGGAGCTGATATGTTTTATTCTTTCTAATCATGTTTCTCTTTTTACTTTGGCCACCTGGAAGCTTAATGTATGACTCAAATTCACTGCAGACAATTCTATAATCTCTATGTCTATTTTATGTGTTTTAATTAATATGACCCTAAAGAAATCTCTTAAAGTTTCCATTTTCTCATTTATAAAATATTCACAAGATGTTGTAAAACTCAAAGTAAATTATTTATGTAACAGTGTTTTCAAATTGGTTTACAAATATTAGGGCTTATTATCTTCCCAAAGAGAGAACCACTGAAATATGTATTTCAGTGGTGCTGAAGGTCCATAACCCTAGTATTGGATATCTGCTGCCATTTTGGAGTATCTTGAAACTTTGAGAAACTATCCCTCCTCCTCCCCTATGTTCTACTGTCAGAGCTCCAGGGGTAGACACATGACTAGAGCCTCACTGAAAAAGCATCCTACGCCCCCAGCCATAGTAATTACTTCCATATGAGCACATGACCTGTGCTGAAACAAGGAAGGTCATACCTAAGACTGCTGGAACAAAAAGGAAACTAGTGCTCTCATTTTACGGAAATTGTTCACAGTAAGACAATCTAAGTCTAGAGCTGCTAAGAGGACTTTTTTTTTTTCACTTCACTGGGAAAATATGCTTTAGAATAAAACCAAACCAACACAAAGGAAAGCAGAATTGAGAAAGACAGAGATGGTATTCTGATAAAAGAGTTTGAGTGTCTTGACCCAACCATGTCTGAAGCCATCTGCAATCCCCAAATACAGCATCATATCATTTATCACCACGGGCTCTCTAATTCAGTTTTAACATAGGCAAATTCACATGGAAGCAGAAACATACTTGATTATCCTATAATGCTATTTTAAAATATGTCCAATCAGTGCAGAAAATATAAAAGAATTCATGGGCCAGGATATTTTTAAAAATCAGCTGCTAAACCTGTGAGCAGAAACTTTGGGATTTTAAAGAGGAAATCCCTTATAATTGCAGTATGTTATTCCAGGTTTTCTTAGAGGTTGATAAGACAGGATAAAACATTTAAGGATTTCATTAAAAGAAACCCAAGTGAGAAAAAATAGGGAGGGAACCAGGCAAGACTAGCCATTTGATTGAGGTATAAGCCTGACCCTCAGTGAAAGAGAAAGGGAAGAAAGTTTGGATGGAAACTTCCTAGACTGCTGTGCAGTCTAAGGAAGACTCAAAAGGCCATTCGGTGGCCTCAAGTCTAAAGTTGGTCCAGATATCCCAGAAACAGGCCAGCCTTAGCATCTCTGTCAGTCAGCCCTGGGCTGTAAGCAGCCCACGGAAAGCATGGCCTGGGCTCAAATGCAACATTGGATTTCAGAGAGCAGCATCTGGGACCCTTGGTAATCTGCACTCCCTATAGTTGGAAATTTTGCAATCACATTGTCATGGCTGACACCTATAGTGAGATCCTATGGCACACAAGATACAATTAAGGCTAAGGAAGCAGTTAAATATAATATCAAGTGGTTAATGTTGAGTCAGAAGAAGAAAGGAACTAAATCAATTTTGGTTTTCTGGTAATTCAGAAACAAGAGATAGTGATGGCTTCATATGTGTTCCTGGTGCTGGATGATATGGGAAAAGTGGTTATAAGACTTAGAGCCTGTATTAGTCCATTTTCACACTACTATAAAGAAATACCTGGCCAGGTGTGGTGGCTCATGTCTAATCCTAGCACTTTGAGAAGTCAAGGCGGGAGGATCACCTGAGGTCAGGAGTTCAAGATCAGTCTAGCCAACGTGGTGAAATCCCATCTCTACTAAAAATACAAAAAATTAGCTGGGCGTGGTGGCACCTGCCTGTAATTCCAGCTACTCAGGAGGCTGAGGCATGAGAATTGCTTGAACCCGGGAGACAGAGGTTGCAGTGAGTTAAGATTGTACAACTTACCACTGCACTCCAGCCTGGGCAACAGAGAGAGAGTCTGTCACACACACACACAAAAAACAACAACAAAACCTGAGACTGGGTAATTTATAAAGGAAAGAGGCTTAATTGGCTCACAGTTCCACATGGCTGAAGAAGCCTCAGGAAACTTACAATCATGACAGAAGACAAAGGGGGAGCAAGGATCTTCTTCACAGGCGGCAGGAGAGAGAAGTGCAAGCAGGGGAAATGCCAGATGCTAATAAAACCATCAGATCTCGTGATACTCACTCACTATCATGAGAACAGCATGGGGAAAACTGCCCCCATGATCCAATTACCTCCCTCCCTTGACACATGGGGATTACAGGTCCCTCCCTTGACACGTAGGCATTACAACCGGAGATAAGATTTCGGTAGGGACACAGATCTAAACCATATCAGAGCCTTTGCCTAACTTTTTAATATGAAGCCTGAGTAATCACTTTTTCTCCCCCTTCCGATCTCCTTGATTATGTTTGTTTACCCTCCCAAGGTTAAACTTACCATTATGACATATTCAATACCAAAAACCAAAGTAATAATCATATTGTCATGATGTCAGGTCCAAACTTGCAATTCTTAGTTGTAGACTATTGTGAACTCCCCAGATTAGAGCCTATATTAGCTATTTATTTTATGTCTCTCTTGAATTCCTAGTCAAGTTTTAGGATTCAAAGTTCAGAGCCTAAACAATATTCTTTTTTTTTTCTAGTGAAATGTTTTTCACACAGTGGGTGCATAATAACTATATTCATCTGAATGACATGGGAGAGAATGGTACAACACTTAAGAGAGGAAAGGAAGAGAATTGATATCAGTGCATGCTCTCAAATCTCCTCTTACAATTAACCGTTCCTGTGAAAATTACTCCCTAAGGCTTAATGCACAGATTATAGGACTGTTTTCTTGAACTACAGACTTCTATTACTCTTCATTCATGATTCATTGACTCTCTCTATGCTAATGTACTTACCAATGCCTACTGCTTCATGCCACTTTTAGATCATCCATTAAGAGTGATGCTTTCTTATTTTTATGTACTGTGGAGGTTTATCACTGTTTATAACCCTTATTGTGGTCCCTTTAAATTCAATTTTAAAGTTGAGTTCTGGCAATTCAATCCTACCATTTTAAGCACCCTTTTGAAAATAAGAAAAGCAAAAATATTTCAGAGGAAGATTGTCTGTAAGCAGAGAGGGGCAAATCCATAGAAATCTTGTCTCACAGCATTAAAAGAAATTCCTGAGGGAACAGCAACCATATGCCCCAGATGTTGAGAGTCTTGGTTTCGAATTCTATCTTAGTAGACAGTAAGAGTTGTATAGCAGTTAGAGGCTCCTGCTTTGCAGACAGGCAGTCTGATTCAAACCCCTAGGCTATAATACATATAACATAATATAATAATTATATAATTGCTAACTCATAACCTTGAATAAGGAAATGAAATAGTGATATTATCTACTTCACAGAATGATTTACATAGACTAAATGAGATAATCCTATTATCCCAGGAGTTTGGCATGAGTCCCAACACATACTGCGCACTCTATAGGTATTAGCAGGTAGCAGTAGCTACACTCAATTGCTTACTGTCTGCTATCATGGTTTCCAAACACAGAGTTCCATGTCTCTGATTGGATTAGTCTCCTCTAGGCCTTTCTTATTTGAATCAATCTAGCTGGTGTTCTTGATTTCTGGGTCTGACATAACCAATTTTGAGCTCAATAATCATGATAGGTAAGATGATCTCTCATATTTTATATAATTTTATATAGCAACAGAATGTGTTGTTAAAACTAAAGGAATTTACTGTATAATATGCTATAATAATGAGTGCTGTGTAACAATTGGCTATACACCTCAAATAAGAGTTAAAGACAAAGTTTGCTGTGTTCTGTTGAACATTAATATCTCCAGTATATTCTCTAAAGTATTTGACGTTAGTCCAAAGAGGTACCAGTATAATTTGATTTTGAAAACTCAAAGTCCCAGAATTCTTATCAACCTTAAAGGAACCAAATACAAATTTCAGTGTTGACACACACACATAAAATTGCTCTCAAATATTCAACATACTAGAAAGTCTACACACAAATATTTGGGCAATTAAAGGTAATTTTTAACACATATCATATATATACAACTTTTAGAGCCACAGAATATGTGAGCATCGTATTTTTCACAGACTCAATCACTCTTTTTTACCTACTCCTAGCAACACAGTCCTTAGCTGGCAAAGATCTAGATGATCACTTCTAGATTTCCTCATCTGTAATAAGCAAAGAGTAGAATCTCTGTTTATAGCTGTCTTGTGAGAATTGAGTGAGTTAATGCTTTTAGCTCAATGTCTAGAAGGAAAGTGTTGGAATCCATCATCTTGTTCTTCCAAACACTACAGTAACTCACATATTTGTTGTGTTTTACAATTTGCAGGCGTCTTTTTAACTGACTAAATAGAAGAAACAGGTAAGAAAGAAACCTGCAACCACCTGAGCACTGTCTGCTATGATTACACAAAGGTGTAAATGATTAATATAAGACTATCACGTAAGAGGACTGAGAGGACCCATGAGTGCTAGACCTTTCAGAAGAATACAGGTAAAGGAGAGACCTATATATGGACAATAATTTTGCTGGCAACAAAAAGCAGAGTCCCTCGGCTTTCACTATGGCAAGTTTGGTTGGATAAGCCTTCCAATAGCTTACAGCAGTGCTAATCAAATATGGCCCCTTGACTACCTTCACCTGGGACTTGTAGGAAATGCAAATCCTCAAGGTCCTATTGCAGACTCACTGAATTAGAAACGCTGGAATTGAGACCAGTTATTCCGCTGCAAGCTAGAGTCCAAGAACCACTAGCTTATGATATAGTTAGAAAAACAGGGAAATGAACAAGAAGATACAACCCTTTATGTTAAATACTCTGTACAATAGGGCTAGTCCCACAAAGCTACTCAAATATAGTGGAGACTCATTTTAACCCAACTCAGTGTAGGAGGTGAGTTAGATGAATCACCAGGTATTAGTGGGAATCAGTCAGATGGGAGATTAAAAAAGGACTGAATTCAATTCCAGTTCTCTGCACTGAACACAGAACACAGCTCTGCCATAAACAGTTATAGCTAACTATTATGCCGAAATCCTATTAACCTCTATAGGAAAGGCACCAGGTTCAAGAGGCCAGAGAGCCAGGGCCAGCAAAAGAGACATGGGGCTTAATTAGGGGCTTACATACAGCAGAAAGAGTCCAGTGGTGACAGGCTGGACAGGAGAACCGCCTTAATTACAGAAATGGTCCAGTGGCAGCAGGCTGGACAAGACAACTGCACAGCCCAGTGGTGGCAGGCTGGGCAGGAAAACTGCAACCACTTACGACAGCATGTAGTTAACAACACATTTTCATTTAACAACCTCTCCTTAATGACCTTCACATGGCAATCTTCATTTACTCCAGAACTCAGGGCCTCAATCTCCTGCACAACCCATGTTCCACGGGATGGGATGGGGGCTCACATGTTCCTCATAGACAAGGAATGAATCTCTGGTATGGCCACTCCTGGATTCTCTAGCTCAGAACACACATTCAGGTGCATCTGCCATACAAGGTCATTCTAAGGTAAGCTTAAGTTATTGCTAAAAGGTGCATTTACCCTATACTAATATTTCTTTAGAACTTCTTATTTGCCAGGCTTTGTATTAAGTCTTTGACATGTGTTATTATGTTTAACATTTAGAACATCCTTATTTTAAAAAAAGTACTATTATTCTCCCAACTTTGTTGAAAAGAAGCTAAGGTTCAGGAAGTAAATGTTCCTGAGAAGATGGGCAGAGGAAATACAATCAAGAGAACATATGGAGGGTTCAGTCTCGAATGGAAAGAGAGGCATTTCTCCATACTTACAGGAGAAAAAAAGATGAGTGCAGAGTGGGGAGGTTCACAGATTTTGTCTACCAATGTCATTCACTGAATGAAAGGCACGGCTAGAATTTGAATCCAGTCGGTCTGTTAGGAGAGTTTATGATGTCAACTACTTCACTGTATTGTCAAATTACACTTAGCATATTGAAATATCTGTTCATCTGTCTGTCTTCCCTATTAAATGCTAGAGCTCCTTAATCTCTAGATCCCAGTCTGAGCACATAGTAGGCACTCAATGTTTATAAAATTTGTGAATGTAAAAAGATAAAAATAAATTGTAAAAAGAATAAAGTGATACTAAAGTATAAATGTAATAAAATATAAAATAATTGAAAGAAAACGTTTTTTGAATAAATGGTGACAGGAATCTCATTTGTATGGCTTTTTTTAATGTGGTGAAGAATATCAATTAGTTGTATATGTTTCACTGTAATTTTTTAAAAATCTGGCCATAATTTCAGGCCGGGTGAGCAAAATTTATTTTCTTTTTTTATTACTATTATACTTTAAGTTCTAGGGTACATGTGCACAATGTTCAGGTTTGTTACATAGGTATATATGTGCCATGTTGGTTTGCTGCACCCATCAACTCGTCATTTACATTAGGTATTTCTCCAATGCTATCCCTCCCACAGCCCCCCACCCCCCGACAAGCCCCCGTGTGATGTTCCCCGCCCTGTGTCCATGTGTTCTCATTGTTCAACTCCCATCTATGAGTGAGAACATGCAGTGTTTGCTTTTCTGTCCTTGTGATAGTTTGCTTAGAATGGTGGTTTCCAGCTTCATCCATGTCCCTGCAAAGGACATGAACTCATCATTTTTTATGGCTGCATAGTATTCCACGGGGTATATGTGCCACATTTTCTTAATCCAGTCTATCACTGATGGACATTTGGGTTGGTTCCAAGTCTTTGCTATTGTGAATAGTGCCACAATAAACATACATGTGCACATGTCTTTATAGTAGCATGATTAAAAATCCTTTGGGTATATACCCAGTCATGAGATCACTGGGTCAAATGGTATTTCTAGTTCTAGATCCTTGAGGAATTGCCACACTATCTTCCACAATGGTTGAACTAATTTACACTTCCACCAACAGTGTAAAAGTGTTCTTATTTCTCCACATCCTCTCCAGCACCTGTTGTTTCTTGACTTTTTAGTGATTGCCATTCTAATTGGCATGAGATGGTATCTCATCGTGGTTTTGATTTGCATGTCTCTGATGACCAGTGATAATGAGCATTTTTTCATGTGTCTGTTGGCTGCATAAATGTCTTCTTTTGAGAAGTGTCTGCTCATATCGTTTCCCCACTTTTTGATGGGGTTGTTTGTTTTTTTCTTGTAAATTTGTTTAAGTTCTTTGTAGATTCTGGATATTAGTCCTTTGTCAGATGGGTAGATTGCAAAAATTTTCTCCCATTCTGTAGGTTGCCTGTTCACCCTGATGGTAGTTTCTTTTGCTGTGCAGAAGCTCTTTAGTTTAATTAGATCCCATTTGTCAATTTTGGCTTTTGTTTCCACTGCTTTTGGTGTTCTAGTCATGACGTCTTTGCCCATGCCTATGTCCTGAGTGGTATTGCCTAGGTTTTCTTCTAGGGTTTTTATGGTTTTAGTTCTTACATTTAAGTCTTTAATCCATCTTGAGTTAATTTTTGTATAAGGTGTAAGGAAGGGATCCAGTTTCAGCTTTCTACATGTGGCTAGCCAGTTTTCTCAACACCATTTATTAAATAGGGAATCCTTTCCCCATGGCTTGTTTTTGTCAGATTTGTCAAAGATCAGATGGTTGTAGACGTGTGGTGTTATTTCTGAGGCCTGTTCTGTTCCATTAGTCTATATATCTGTTTTGGTACAAGTACCATGCTGTTTTGGTTACTGTAACCCTGAATTATAGTTTGAAGTCAGGTAGTATGATGCCTCCAGCTTTGTTCTTTCTGCTTAGGATTGTCTTGGCTATGCAGGCTCTTTTTTTGGTTCCATATGAACTTTAAAGTAGTTTTTTCTAATTCTGTGAAGAAAGTCATTGGTAGCTTGATGGGGATAGCATTGAATCTATGAATTACCTTGAGCAGTATGGCCATTTTCATGATATTGATTCTTCCTATCCATGAGCATGGAATGTTCTTCCACTTGTTTGTGTCCTCTTTTATTTCATTGAACAATGGTTTGTAGTTCTCCTTGAAGAGGTCCTTCGCATCCCTTGTAATTTGGATTCCTAGGTATTTTATTCTCTTTGTAGTAATTGTGAATGGGAGTTCACTCATGATTTGGCTCTCTGTTTGCCTATTATTGGTGTATAGGAATGCTTGTGATTTTTGCACATTGATTTTGTATGCTGAGACTTTGCTGAAGTTGCTTATCAGCTTAAGGAGATTTTGGGCTCAGACAATGGGGTTTTCTCAATATACAATTATGTCATCTGAAAACAGAGACAATTTGACTTTCTCTTTTCCTAATTGAATACCTTTAATTTCTTTCTCTTGCCTGATTGCCCTAGCCAGAACTTCCAACACTATGTTGAATAGCAGTGGTGAGGGAAGGCATCCTTGTCTTGTGCCAGTTTTCAAAGGGAATACTTCCAGTTTTTGCCGATTCAGTATGGTATTGGCTGTGGGTTTGTCATAAATAGCTCTTATTATTTTGAGATAATTTCATCAATACCTAGTTTATTGAGAGTTTTTAGCATGAAAGGCTGTTGAATTTTCTCAAAGGCCTTTTCTGCATCTATTGAGATAATCATGTGGTTTTTGTCATTGGTTCTGTTTATGTGATGGATGATGTTTAGTGATTTGCATTTGTTGAACCAGCCTTGCATCCCAGGGATGAAGCTGACTTGATCGTTGTGGATAAGCTTTTTGATGTGCTGCTGGATTCAGTTTGCCAGTATTTTATTGAGGATTTTTGCATCAATGTTCATCAGGGATATTGGCCTAAAATTCTCTTTTTCTTGTTGTGTCTCTGCCAGACTTTTGTATCAGGATGATGCTGGCCTCATAAAATGAATTAGGGAGGATTCCCTCTTTTTCTATTGATTGGAATAGTTTCAGAAAGAATGGTACCAGCTCCTTTTTGTACCTCTGGTAGAATTCGGCTGTGAATCCATCTGCTCCTGGACTCTTTTTGTTTGGTAGGCTATTAATTATTGCATCAGTTTCAGTACCTGTTATTAGTCTATTCAGAGATTCACCTTCTTCCTGGTTTAGTCTTGGGAGTGTGTATGTGTCCAGGAATTTATCCATTTCTTCTAGATTTTCTAGTTTATTTGTGTAGAGGTGTTTATAGTATTCTGTGATGGTAGTTTGTATTTCTGTGGGATCGGTGGTGATATCCCCTTTATCATTTTTTATTGTGTCTATTTTGATTCTTATCTCTTTTCTTCTTTATTAGTCTTGCTAGTGGTCCATTTTGTAGATCTTTTCAAAATCCAGCTCCTGGATTCATTGATTTTTCGGAAGGGTTTTTTTGTATCTCCATATCCTTCAGCTCTGCTCTGATCTTAGTTATTTCTTGCCTTCTGCTAGCTTTTCAATGCGTTTGCTCTTGCTTCTCTAGTTCTTTTAATTGTGATGTTAGGGTGTCAATTTTAGATCTTTCCTGCTTTCTTTTGTGGGCATTTAGTGCTATAAATTTCTCTCTACACACTGCTTTAAATGTGTCCCAGAGATTCTGGTACATTGAGTCTTTGTTCTTATTGGTTTCAAAGAACATCTTTATTTCTGCCTTAATTTTGTTGTTTACCCAGTAGTGAATCAGGAGCAGGTTGTTCAGTTTCCATGTAGTTGTGTGGTTTTGAGTGAGTTTCTTAATCCCGAATTCTAATTTGATTGCACTGTGGTGTGAGAGACTTCTTTGTTGTGATTTCTGTTCTTTTGCATTTGCTGAGGAGTGCTTTACTTCCAACTATGTGGTCAATTACAGAATAAGTGCAATGTGGTGCTGAGAAGAATGTATACTCTGTTGATTTGGGGTGGAGAGTTGTGTAGATGTCTATTAAGTCAGCTTGGTCCAGAGCTGAGTTCAAGTCCTGGATAGCCTTGTTAACATTCTGTCTCATTGATCTGTCTAATATTGACAGTGGAGTGTTAAAGTCTCCCATTATTATTGTGTGGGAGTCTAAGTCTCTTTGTAGGTCTCTAAGGACTTGCTTTATGAATCTGGGCTCCTGTATTGGTGCATATATATTTAGGATAGTTAGCTCTTCTTGTTGAATTTATTCCTTTACCATTATGTAATGGCCTTCTTTGTCTCTTTTGATCTTTGTTGGTTTAAAGTCTGTTTTATCAGAGACTAGGATTGCAACCCCCACTTTTATTTGCTTTCCATTTGCTTGGTAGATTTTCCTCCATCCCTTTATTTGGAGTCTATGTGCGTCTTCGCCTGTGAGATGGCTCTCTTAAACACAGCACACTGATGGGTCTTGACTCTTTATCCAGTTTGCCAGTCTGTGTCTTTTAATTGGAGTATTTAGCCCATTTACATTTAAGGTTAATATTGTTATATTTGAATTTGATCCTGTCATTATGATGTTAGCTGGTTATTTTGTCCATTAATTGATGCAGTTTCTTCATAGCATTGATGGTCTTTGCAATTTGGCATGTTTTTGCAGTGGCTAGTACCGGTTGTCCCTTTCCATGTTTAGTACTTTCTTCAGGAGTTCTTGTAAGGCAGGCCTGGTGGTGACAAAATCTCTCAGCATTTGCTTATCTGTAAAGGATTTTATTTCTCCTTCACTTATGAAGCTTAGTTTGGCTGGATATGAGATTCTGGGTTGAAAATTCTTTCCTTTAAGAATGTTGAATATTGGCCCCCACTCTCTTCTGGCTTGTAGGGTTTCTGCTGAGAGATCTGCTGTTAGTCTGATGGACTTCCCTTTGTGGGTAACCCTACTTTTCTCTCTGGCTGCCCTTTACATTTTTTCCTTCATTTCAACGTTGGTGAATCTGATGATTATGTGTCTTGGGGTTGCTCTTCTCAAGGAACATCTTTGTGGTGTTCTCCGTATTTCCTGAATTTGAATGTTGGCCTGCCTTGCTAGGTTAGTGAAGTTCTCCTGGATAATATCCTGAAGAGTGTTTTCTAACTTGGTTCCATTCTCCCTGTCACTTTCTGGTACACCAATCAAACGTAGATTTAGTCTTTTCACATAGTCCCATATTTCTTGGAGGCTTTCTTCGTTTCTTTTCATTCTTTTTTCTCTAATCTTGTCTTCTCACTTTATTTCATTTATTTGATCTTAAATCACTGATATCCTTTCTTCCACTTGATCAAATTGGCTATTGAAGCTTGTGCATGTGTCACAAAGTTCTCGTGCTGTGGTTTTCAACTCCATCGGGTCATTTAAGGTCTTCTCTACACTGTTTATTCTAGTTAGTCATTCATCTAACCTTTCTTCAAGGTTTTTAGCTTCCTTGCGATGGGTTAGAACATGCTCCTTTAGCTTGGAGAAGTTTGTTATTACCGACCTTCTGAAGTCTACTTCTGTAAACTCATCAAAGTTATTCTCCGTCAAGTTTCGTTCCCTTGCTGGCAAGGAGCTGCAATCCTTTGGAGGAGAAGAGGCGCTCCGGTTTTTGGCATTTTCAGCTTTTCTGCTCTAGTTTTTCCCTGTGTTTGTGGTTTTATCTACTTTTGGTCTTTGATGTTGGTGACCTACAGATGGGGTTTTGGTGTAGATGTCCTTTTTGTTGATGTTGATGCTATTCCTTTCTGTTTGTGAGTTTTCCTTCTAACAGTCAGGCCCCTCAGCTGCAGGTCTGTTGGAGTTTGCTGGAGGTCCACTCCAGACGCTGTTTGCCTGAGTATCACCAGCAGAGACTGCAGAACAGCAAATATTGCTGCCTGATCCTTCCTCTGGAATCTTCATCCCAGAGGGGCACCCACCTGTATGACGTGTCTGTCGGCCCCTACTGGGAGGTTTCTCCTAGTCAGGCTACACAGGGGCCAGGGACCCGCTTGAGGAGGCAGTCTGTCCAATCTTGGTGCTTGAACGCCATGCTGGGAGAACCATTGCTCTCTTCAGAGCTGTCAGACAGGGACATTTAAGTCTGCAGAAATTTCTGCTGCCTTTTGTTCTGCTATGCCCTGCCCCCAGAGGTGGAATCTAGAGAGACAGTAGTCCTTGCTGAGCTGTGGTGGGCTCTGCCCAGTTCAAGCTTCCCGGCTGCTTTGTTTACACTGTGAGCTATTCAAGCCTCAGCAATGGCAGACACCCCTCCCCCTGTCAAGCTGCAGCATTGCAGGTTGACCTCAGACTGCTGCGCTAGCAGTGAGCAAGCCTCCATGTGCATGGGACCCGCCGAGCCAGGCATGGGACTGTATCTCCTGGTCCGCCAGTCACTAAGACTGTGGGAAAAGCACAGTATTTGGTCAGGAGTGTACCATTTCTCCAGGTACAGTCTGTCATGGCTTCCCTTGGCTAGAAAAGGGAAATCCCCCAACCCCTTGTGCTTCCTAGGTGAGGCAATGCCCTGCCCTGCTTCAGCTTGCCCTCCATGGGTGGCACCCACTGTCCAACCAGTCCCAGTGAGATGAACCAGGTACCCCAGTTGGAAATGCAGAAATCACTCATCTTCTGTGTCAATCTCACTGGGAGCTGAAGACCGGAGCTGTTCCTATTCGGCCACCTTATAAGCGACCCCGCATAATTTATTTTCAAATAATCCCTTTTGCTTTTGTTTTGGTTCAGGTCCCCTAAAAACAGTATTTATGAATACAATTGAATATTTTGGTAATCATCCTAACAACCATTCTACCCCTCATCCATGATATCCTAACAACCATTCTACCCCTCATCCATGATATCCTAATAAACATTCTACCCCTCATCCATGATATAACATCCATGTGGTTCTAGAACAGCTGGCTTTACCCCCAGCTCCAGGAATGGAGTACATAACCTCAGCTAAGCCAATCATTGCATTTCGCCCTTTGAGCACTATTCATGGCTCATTGGGGCACGTGTGATCTAGTCTAGTCAAACAGAAAATCTCAGGCCTTACGCTAGAAATTCCTGGCACACCAATCTCTACTTTTCAAAAGTGTGTGATAGCTAGAATTGTTACCACTTTATTACCATAAAGAGAGTCAGCAGTAGAAGAAGTAGACACACAGAGTAGTGTACAGCCAAAATAATTGCAGGATGACTTCATATATTGATCAAATTATGCCTGAAGTCTACATTGCTGCTGAACTTCTCAGTTTTGTAAATAAATTTCCTGTTCCTATTATTTGGCCAGTCTGTGCTAGTTTCTTCCTGTGATGCAAGCTAATACTTCCTAACTGATCTAGTGGAACTTAAATAGACCCCAGATATCTTTTGCTTTTAAGTTTTGGTTCAGGTCCCCTAAAAAGGATATTTATGAATACAATTGGGTATTTTGGCAATCATCCTAACAACCATTCTACCCTTCATCCATGATATAATATCCATGTGGTTCTAGAACAGCTGGGGGTAAACCAGCTGTTTACTAGGCTAAGCCAGTCATTGCATTCCACCCTCTGAGCACTATTAAGGGCTTGCTGGTGATAACAACATAGGGATACACTGTCTCTACAACAAATAAAAAAATTAGCCAGGTGTTGTGGCATATTCCTGTACCCCCAGCTACTCAGGGGAGACCGAGGTGAAAGGATTGCTTGACCCTGGAGGTCGAGGCTGCAGTGAGCTATGATCGTACCACTGCACTCCAGACCAGGCAACAGACCAAGATTCTGTCAAAAAAAAAAAAAAAAAAAACTTCCATTACGGCATTTTATCTGTCAAATGCCTTGTATACTCATCATGTGGTGTTTGAAAAGATCCTGTGCTCTGTGATCATGCCAATTCAGGACTAGAAACTTTGCTAGCAACAGCCCATTCCCGATCCATATTGTCAGTGATACCAGAAAACTAAAGAGGCATAGAAACGTCAGCTTAACTTTCAATGTTTTTTGCCTCGTGACTTCAGAATTATAATTCTTTTAAGGGCAAATAGAGTTCTCCTATGAAAAACTGTAAGGCAGCATTATTACACAATAGAGCTTTTGATAACTTAGGAAAAACGGGTATTGTGAATCTCTGATGCTTTGTTCTCTTCAATAAAGAACTACTACAATCAATAGGAAATAGGTAGCAAGCAGGCATTTTACTTGGGTTAAAGTACTCCTGCTACAATCTGGTAAGAAAAGCTACAGATTTGATACCATTACAGAGTCAGTTCTTTTTCCCACTACAAAATATAGTTGATATCTGGAATTAGCTAGCCCAAATGGCTCAAAATCATTTAATGGTGACCATATATTTTCTCTCATATTCTCACAAAAACATTCAGGAGACCAAGAAGAGTGCTAAAAATTCAAAATAATCTTGAAAACTAAACTGGAGGATAACCTAATGTCAGAATCTTATAGGAACTTACAATAGTTATAGAGTAGAATGGAACTCCAGAGCGAACTATGTACCTAAATTGCATCTTATAGCAGTATAGTATGGTGGTCCAGAATATGCCTTCCAGATTAGACAAAGTTGGATTTAAGTTTTATCATCATCTAGCTGGATGATCTTGGTAAAATAAAATCTGTTTCTCTTCTGTAAAATGTGAATAATAAGAGTACCACTGTTATAAATTGAATTGTGTCTTCCCAAAATGCATACGTTGAAGCCCTAAAGTCCCAGTATGACTGCTTTAGGAGATGGGGCCTCTACAGAGGTAATTAATGTTAAATAAGGTCATAAGGGCAGGACCTTAATTTAATAGGACTGATGTCCTTATAATAAGAGGAGATACCAAGTATTCACATGCACAAGGAAAACACCATGTGAGGACACAGCAAGAAGGCAGGCATCTGCAAGCCAAGGAGAGACGACTCACCAGATACCAACCCTTGGATTTCCAGCCTCCAGAACTGTGAGAAATACATTTCTGTTGTATAAGCTCCCCGACTCTGGTATTTTGCTATGGCAGCCTGAGCAGACTGACACAAGAACCCTCATGAGGTGTTGTCAAAACTGAATGCATTAATGCGTCTAGGGCCTGGGATGAGGTAAATCCTCAATGATTGTGTTCCTGTTATTGTTATTAGTTCATAAACACAGATCTTGTGGAAAAGGATGGAAGGATACTTCCTATATCTCTCATCTGTCCCAGAATTCCTTTTAGGGGATTAGCCAGGGAGGATTAATCTCCTGCTACTGATGACAAGGACTGAGTTGGGGCATATTTTAAGAGGAGCAAGACCTGGTACATGAAGCTACCTCAGTGTGCACCTTCCTCATTTGAATTGCATCCTTGGCTTTCCTACATATGCCACAGATGTAGGAGCCCAGAAGCAGCAAAATCTTGCTCCAGAGGGAGTTCCAAAATAAATTCACCACCAGACACATTCTTCTTAAGAAATAAATTCCCTACTGCTAGAAATATCCAGCCCTGGAACCAAAAGGAAGATACATGGAACACTGGGACCATGTGTGGAATCATTGCTTTCCCCCCACCATCTCAAGAGCCTCTCTCTTAAGAACCTGCTGCTGGAATTGTCACATAGGTGGGTTATATGTGGGATGAACTGTGCTACCTACACTGCCCACCCACTCCCCTCCTCTTCAATACTCTAAGAGAACACCTGCATTATCTGCTTTTGTTAACATGTACACATATAAATAAGTACATAAATACATCAAAATTTAAACAATGGTTACCTGGTACTCATAGAATTAGTAAAGCTTCTTTTTTCAATTTTCTTTCTCTTTTATACATTTATATTTGTTAATTTTGTACAATGAAAGTGTGCTATTTGCATAATTTTTTAAGTTATTTTAAAAGTGGAATTTAAAAGTTCTAGAGATTTCTATTAAAAATTCATATTCCCCTTAAAAATAAAGCCCAATATCAATTATTTGAATACCTAAGTATGGCTCAGTTTTTTTATTGATATTGTTTATTTACATTTAATTGTTTTTTAAGTTGCTTTGATTCTCCTTGGCAGTTTGTGTGTGTGCATGTAATTTTTAAAACCTATATTTTTTCATTGCCACAAATATAGACCATTTTCCAAATGTATTACTTTCTTAATTTTCCTGCCTATAATTCAAAATAATTATTTAACATGTTAAAAGCTATAGTCCAAGGTCTAGTTAATTCAGCAGAATTCATTTAACTACAGAAACTGCATTCTAATGGAGTTGCACAAGACTGGTTTGAGGAGTTATGTTTAATATCCACATACAGATGATTTCTGAGATTACTTAAACAAATCTAGAGATCCTCTGAGAACTTACTCATATTTAAACAAATCTAGAGATCCTCTGAGAACCTACTCACACTTTACAAGATCCCACTGGATTTCTATCATGCTCAAGGCAGTTCCTGCTGCCCCACCTAGAGGGTCTTACTGACCTTTCCCAAATTCCTCTTCTCTCCTTTGAAGACTCTCTCCTTTAATAGCTATATTGTAGCCATTCAAAAAGTAGACAGGAGAATTTTAGAAAAAATACATGAAATAGCTTTTCCAAAATTTGGCCTGAAATGTAGAAATTTTTCTGTTACAAAGCTATCCCTTTGTTTCAGACGGCCTTCTTAGCACCTGAACTAACCCTTTTCTCTGAAGAGACTACAGCCTATGTCAGTAAACCATCAGGCCCCAAAAAACACAGCAGCACCTGCGTCTGCTACAAATAAACAAACCACTAACTCCCTCTAGTACAGTAATCTACACCCAGTACACACTCGGTAAATGTCACTGGAGATTACTAGTACGAACATTAAAGGCACACAGTAGTCAATAAACACTTGTTGAATAACTTGATTTAACAGCATATTGAGAGCATGTACCTAAGAAAAAACAAATGAGGTTTTTTTTTAACCTGGAGAGTTATTTCCTCTATGTGTGTGTTTGCTATTTCTAAATCACCATCAAAAATGTTGTGTCCTCTTTAAACCCATGTTTTCTAAACTTGTGTACTTTTTTTCCAGTGCCACAGAAGTGTTCCATTTTTATGCATCAACTAGAGAGATTAAAATTAAAAGTTCATTAAAGATTTATGGCAAAATCATTTGTACGAAATGCACCAAAGCAATAACTTCAGATTCATCAAGAAGATCTAATAAATTATAAGCTAAAATTAGCAACTGCAAACTACTCAAACCATGTTACTATAAAATGTTCCTCCTCCTTTTGTTTTTAACAGTCTTCCCTAAAGGCTTGATCAATTCAGCTTACTTAATCACAAAACTGTAACGACAGAATATTTGCAAGACCTATTCAAGAAGTCTTCACAAATATGAAAATCTCTCTCCTTCATTACGTGAAAAAGACACTTGCACATGCATGTTTATAGCAGCACAGTTCACAATTGCAAAAATATGGAACCAGCCTAAATGCCCATCAGCCAACAAGTGGATAAAGAAAATGTAGTATACATTCACCATGGAATACTACTCAGCCATAAAAAGGAATAAAATAATGGCATGTGCAGCAACCTGGATGGAGTTGGAGACCACTATTCTAAGTGAAGTAACTCAGGAATGGAAACCCAAATATCATATGGGAGCTAAGCTATGAGGATGCAAAGGGATAAGAACGGTATAATGAACCTTGGGGACTTAAAAGGGAAGGATGGGAAGGGATGAGGGATAAAAGACTACACATTGGCTACAGTGTACACTGCTCGGGTGCAACAAAATCTCAGAAATCACCACTAAAGAACTTATTCATGTAACCAAAAACCATCTGTCCTCCAAAAACTATTGAAATAAAATAAATGTTTTTTAAAAACTCTCTTTACTGGCTTTAAAGAACAGCTGTGGCTATAAAAATGTGTCATTTTCTAAATGAAAAAATATTTCCTTATCATATCTCTACGTGTTTTTATCAATTGTATTGGTTTTGCTTTCCTTCTTCTTTTGAGGGTAGTAAAATAATTAAAGCATTCATTTTGTAAATTAAATGCCATATATAAAATATTACCTTGCATACATATCTAACAATTTATCTCTATGGCATGATGTGTATATACATTTATGTACACAAAAATTACATACATAACAACTTATGCAGCATTATCTTACCTAATTACACTGTAGGACTCAAATCAAATGGACTATACTGAGGGACTTGTACTTTAAATCAGCTCATTTCAATAAAATTTAATGTACTCATAAGTAGTAAAATTAAGTTGCTTCATCACTTGGTATTTAGTTTTTGTATGTACTTGACTTGAATTTCAAATTCACCAATATCGATGAATGATTTTTTTAATGAAAATGAAATAATGTTTTATAAGAGAATGTTCACTGACATTAGAGAAAAATCCATAAAGTTTCAAATCACCTCTCAGTGTGCCATTTTCTGGTCTATTTTCTCTTATATTCCCTCCTAGGAATCTTTCTTATTCAGTGGCACCAGCTAATATCCATGACAGTAAATTAGAGTATAATTCTCCAAGTGGCATTTGAATTTTTGAAGAAAATATTGAAAATAAAAGAAGTAAGAACGCAAGGAAGAACTTGCAACTATATCTTAGTCATCATTGTAGCTCCTGTATCTCCTAACATTTTGTTCTCAAAATAGATACATTCACTCATTTGTTCAATCGCTAAAATCCTGAATGTCAGTGAATATGTGCCAAGTGCTACACCATCCACTGAGATAAATGAAAAATAAGACCATTATTTCTCCTAAAGACCTGAGAGGCTACCAAAGGATACAGGTCATAAAAGGCAATTCTAATAAATATGTGATAAATGTTTGTCAAGGAGCTGCATATCACTTGAGAGGTAGTAAGTTAGGTAGATTTGAGGAACAAGTTGACTGTTGTGGTCACCTGCATTACTCACATGTAAGCCCACTTCTCAAACCCTAGTCTATTTTCCTAAGTATTGGAATACAATGCTTACCACATTATATCTTACTCAGAAATGAACCAAGTGCAGATCTAAATATTTATTTTGTATTATTGAGGAACAAGTTCCTGTTGTTAGAACTTTTATATTAGCCATAGGTACTTCTATTGAGGGCCCTGTCAGTATCTCACAAGTCCAAGGAATAACGGTAACCCAATGGACTAATGAAAAACTAAATTCAGATAATTGCCTTTAAAAACTCAATTTTTGGCTGGGCATGGAGGCTCACACCTGTAATCCCAGCATTTTGGGAGGCTGAGGCGAGTGTATCACTTGAGCTCAAGAGTTTGAGACAAGCCTGTGCAGTGTGGCAAGACACCAACTCTACAAAAAATACAAAATATTACCCAGGCATGGTAGCATACATCTGTAGTCCCAGCTACTCAGGGGGCTGAGGTGGGAGGATCTCTTGAGCCTGGAAGGTCAAGGCTGCAGTGAGTCGAGATCACGCCACTGCATTCCAGTCTGGGTGACAAAGTGAGACCCTGTCAAAAAAAGTTAAGGGCTAGGTACAGTGGCTCACGCCTGTAATCCCAGCACTTTGGGAGGCCGAGGCTGGTGGATCATTTGAGGTCAGGAGTATGAGACCAGCCTGGCCAACAAGGGGAAACCCCATCTCTACTAAAAATACAAAAATTAGCTGGGCATGGTGGCAGGTACCTATAATCCCAACT
Source organism: Homo sapiens (assembly GCF_000001405.40). Lineage (NCBI taxonomy): Eukaryota > Metazoa > Chordata > Mammalia > Primates > Hominidae > Homo > Homo sapiens. The sequence continues at coordinate 86,420,971 of NC_000004.12, forward strand.
GCTTGGGAGGCTGAGGCAGGAGAATCGCTTGAACCCGGGAGGCAGAGGTTGCAGTGAGCCGAGAGCATGCCACTGCACTCCAGCCTGGGTGACATAGTGAGACTCCACCTCAGAAAGAAAAAAAAAAAATTTACATATACAAAGTCTACTTTTGAATGACATAATCGTGTGTGTGTGCATGTGTTTACTTAAAATGAACAATAGGAGTCTCAATCTTGTGGGTCATTTCCCCAAGTTCTATCGTTCTTTTTGCTTGTTTGTTTGTTTCTTGGTACACTGACTGACAACAATACCTACCACTTGATTATATTGCTTTGGATTAGTGGGCACTGTGCAGCTATTCACATTTAATTTCTTATGCCTAATAACAATAAATTATAAATTCTCTAAAAAATAAGTAAATAAGTAAAAGCCACTTGGAAGCAAAGACAGCCATATATCCCTGTTTGTTGAGACGGTTGATTTTACACATATTTAGCAGAGTTTCTAGCAGCGCCCCCTTGCACACTCACAAGTGTCTTAGTGAGGATGATAAACTGTAGAGTCATCCTCTTCATAGAGGAGGTAGCATCTGAGCTTGTATCTAAAAAAGAAAGTAGGAATTTGCCAGCTCGAGAATGGGTGGCTCAGGGAAGAAGGAGGCTGCTCCAGGCACAGGGAATACAAAGCACAAAGGCAAGGAAATAGAGTGCGGTGCAGTAAGGAAGAACCTGGGCGCTGGAGCAGAATGGCTGTGGGCAGATCTCAGCCTACCACTAACTAGCTGCAAATATGTTCTATAACACAGCCAGAGTGAGTTTTTAAAAGCATAAGTAGGATCGTGCCGCTCCTCTGATGAAATCCCATGGGTGGCTTCCCATTGCTCTTAAAATAAAGCCTGAATTCCTTACCATGATTTACAAGGCCCTAAGAAATCTGGTTTTTGTTCCCATCAGGTGCCACCACTGTCACCACCACCACCACCCCATGCTCACTGTACTCCAGCCTCACTCCTTTGCCGCCAGTCTCAAGGCCTTTCACGTGATTTCCCAAATACCAATTCCTCAGAGAGGTACATTTCTGCCTAAAGTGGCCCTTCTCACTAGTTAGCCCCACTGTATTATCTATGGCATTACCTGTCTATTTCCCTCATAACTTCCTCCCATCAGTTAACTATTTTTTTTACATTATTTGAGTGTTTATTGGTCATCTGTCTCTGACATTAGAATGTCAGCACTTAAGGGCAAGGCCTCACCTGTCAAGTTTACAGCTATGTTGCCCCTATCGACAAGTAATCTACAATATACAGGCGTTTTAACTGAATGGATGGATGAATGAATGAATGAAGTGTTAGGGACCAGACTTAATGTATTATACCTTAAGAGTACTTGCATTTTTAAGGAAGATAAAAAGAGAAGGCAATGCCTAACATGTGGGAATGACTCATTAATGTTAAATTAGCAGGCACAGGTGACAAAGAGGGATGTGCTTTGGGGTGGCAGTATCTTTCTTGCACCTTCATTCCATTATGCCAACAAAACAAGAAGAAATGACAACATACTGTATCCGCTTCCTGCTGTGCCTATGAGAATAATATAGGAAATCAGAATGGCTTCTTTATTGTTTGTGAATAACCCACAATTTTAATCCTTACATAGATTAACATCATTGGCACGCCTGGTAAGCCAACAAGGACATAATTATCTTTAGTGTACTAGAAGGTAGGATATTTAACACACTCTCCAAAGTAAGTTTCAAAACAGACCGGCAGGCATAGAAACAAAAAGGTGAAAAGTATTAAGGGTATATGACACACAGGAGGGTATGTGGAACTCAACTGGGAGTGCTATCGAAATGAGAACAGCCTGTTAAGATAACGAAAAGTGGAAAATCGTAGCAAACAGGAATTATATTAGGAAGCAAAACACATTAAGGAGAGCACAAGATTTTTTTTAATGAATTTTAATTCTTTCTCCAGTCTTTGTTGTTATTTGCTAATGGACTTTATGATGGTTGAAAGGTAAAGTTTATTTTCTCATTAGCTTTATTATTTTCCACTGGCAGACATTAATTCTCTCCTTTCCTGAACCCTCACTTCATGCAACTAAAATGAGCATGGTAGTTATATTCCCTTTATGATATTTACATATACATTAGCATCACAATGCAGTCAAAATACCTTAGGGTACAACATATATTACCTGGAGAAGCAATTATGGAGACAAAAGGCATTCTGAGATAGCAGCATTCTAAGAATTTTCCTCATTATTATCATATAAACATTTCTATGAAAAAAATTCAGGTGAAACTAGGTAGAAGAAAATAATTTAAATAGCCAAATTCCAATGGCCTTCCCATTCTTAAAATGCTGGCACATCAATACAAACATCAGTAAATTATGACTCTCTGTTATATGCATAATACCATGTTTAGGCTCTGAGGACACAAAGAATTTAGTAATAACAAATAAGGAATAAATAAGACATTAAACCAGCTAATGTATGTAAAGTACTCAGCATTTAATAAAACTAAACAAATGGTGGCAGTGGCTGTTACAAATTCTGTGGTTGTCCTTAATGGCTATGGCAGTTAGCTGGTAAGTTACAGAAGAAAGTGTAGACAGGTTTTAATGTGGCCTAGGAAATCTGGAGGCCTTATACTTGCAAAGAAAACTGAGGGGGTTATTTTTTGTGAAGGGGCATTAATATAGGAATAGCATGAGAATGGTGTGAGACTTCACCTATTGTGTGTTATGAGTACTAAGTAGCCTGGTTTCCCTGGAATGAGGGCTGCATATAAGTAATTAGTGGGATATATATACATATATATATATATATATATATATATGTTTAGGAGGCTTCCATTGCCAGGCAAATGATTTTTATCTCATGGATAAAAGAGAGTCAATGTAATTTTGAACAGGGAATAGGCATAGATAAAGAAAGTGTTTTAAGGAAAGTAACCTAAAAGTTACTACAAGATATAGAGTAAAGGTAAAGATTTGAGATCCAAAAACCAATTAGGAGATTATTATAATATTCATATGTAGAAGAAGTGCCTGTAAGAGATCATTCCATTTATAAGGCTGAAGATGCATTATAAAAATATCTAAGGTGTTTTAGTCCATGGGCTATTAAATAATATGTATGGTGATGTTCTGACAGCTCATGGAATTCCACCAACTTTGCTTCCCACACTCCAGTTCAGACCGACTTCTTCAAGTCTTTTTTTTTCAAATCTTTTTTTAATTTTTATTGTTTTTATTTATTTTGAGACAGAGTCTCGCTCTGTTGCCCAGTGGCGCAATCTCGAACACTGCAACCTCCACCTCCCAGGTTCAAGCGATTCTCCTGTCTCAGCTTCCCAAGTAGCTGGGATTACAGGCACCTGCCACCACGCTCAGATAATTTTTGTATTTTTAGTAGAGACAGGGTTTTACCACGTTGGCCAGGCTGGTCTTGAACTCCTGACCTCAAGTGATCTGCTCCCCTCGCCTCCCAAAGTGTTGGGAGATTACGGACATGAGCCACCGTACCTGGCCAACTTCTTCAAGTCTTATGTCCCTGTTTCCACCAATTTGACTCAACTTAGGTTCTCACACTCTGCCTAGTCTGTTTGTGAAGGAGTCATAGTTAGGCTGGCTGCCTGCTCTCAATTTGGGCTTCACCCTGGGAATCTCCCTCTTGAATCATGCATGGTCTCCTTCACAAGCCCACCCTCCCCTCATGTCTAGGAAATCATGAGGGGTAGCATGATCATGAGGGTAGCATAATCATGAGGGAAATCATGAGGGTAGCATAGGTCCAGGGCTTTGGACTCCTGCTAATCTGAAAAGATGAATCAGAAAAGAAGAATTGTGACTAATTTGATATGAAGACAAACAAGAGAGAAAAGCTAAAGCTGACTCCAGTAATTCAAGCATAATTGACCATAAGAAATATGTCCAGCTGGCAGATAGAGATAGGGAAATAAATCTCAGAGGAAAATGTCATGGCCAGGGTGGATTTGAGGAGCATCTCAGTGAACTGCCTAAGGAAAGACCATTGTGAAGAAACAGCAGAATGTCAAGGACCAAATTCCGTGTTCAAGGTCAAGAGGAAGAAGTATAACCAGCAAGGAGATAGAGGAGTGACAGAGGCAGAAAGGCTTTTAGAGTCTTGAAAGTCAAGCAAAGAAAGAATCAACATGTGGAGGGACTGACAACAGAGAAGGCATTGGAAGAATAAGGACTTACAAAACCTGTTTTTCTCCTAACGGAGTTTAATTTCACAAAACAGTTCTTGTTGGTTTAACAGTATATATTACAGTGGTGGTCTTAAAGCAAAAAGAATAGTAGTACCAACATTATTTCTAATCATAAAATGTATCTCTACTAGAAGCTACATGTATTTGTTTAGCCATTTTACAAAGTTTGAAAACATATAAAAGATATGACATGTATATATTATATAAAATGACTCCAGGTAATTTTCTATTTTTCTGTATTAAAAAAAAACTTTAGGCTTTAATATTTTCACTAGACTACTACAAACACACCTGTTTTGTTTTGTTTGTTTGGAGATTTCAGTTTTTCTAAGACCTTCTTTAAACCATCCAATTGTATGACTTAAGCAGTTTGCTTAGCCTATGGATTCTCTTCTCCATTTGAACTCGTTTATTCCACAGCAATGTCACAAATGTCACAGAGAGCTATATTTTAAATATATGTCACAAATAAATTAAGATCCTTAATTTATTTAAGGATCGGGCGCAGTGATTCACGCCTGTAATCCCAACACTTTGGGAGGCCAAGGCAGGCGGATCACATGAGGCCAGGAGTTCGAGAGCAGCCTGGGCAAAAAGGTGACCCTGTCTCTACTAAAAATACAAAAATTAGCTGGGCATGGTGGCACATGCCTGTAATCCCAGCTACTCAGGAGGCTGAGGCAGGAGAATCATTCAAACCTGGGAGGCAGAGGTCGCAGTGAGCCGAGATTGAGCCACTGTACTCCAGCCTGGGCGACAGAGAGAGACTCTGTCTCAAAAAGAAAAGATCCTTTTCTGTGATTCAGTCTACACTAAGCTATGCTAAGGATTCTCTCATTCAAATGTTTGTTTCAAAAAGTCTCTGTATTTATTTCCTTTTTAGTATTTTGGCCTCTCGCTGTTTCATCTGAAGAAACTAATTAATTATGGATATTTATTTTGCTTACATTATTTCACTTTACAGTATGCTATATTACTGTGAAGTATGCAAATGTAATGTTTACTGAATACAACGCTAAAATTTTCCTTTTCTTTAAATGTTATTTTTATTATAATCTTTAAGATGCTTATGTTCGAGATAATTGGTCTGCCACTATGGATTGGATGCTTAAATCCTTTTCAGAATAAAAATGCAAGCAGATTGTGAACTTTACCCTAACATGCAAATTCCCAACTAAGATGCTGTTTTCTACTTGAAGTAAATGAAACATTTTATTACTGGGTGATCAGAAAATCTGGCCTTTTCAAGTTTTCAGCCAGGGGCTAGAGAAGTACATCTCCTCTGAAAAAATTTTAGAGGAATGGTGGGAGACAAAATAAATTTGCATTTAGATTCCGTCCTAAAAGTTGTGTTGGTTCAACCCACCAGTTCCACAAGTTGGGAAAATGTTACATACTGCAGCACCCTTTTAGGGAACTCATAAAGTACCTGAAAAACACATCAGGAAAGTTGCATGCTAAATATCTTTAATCCTGTATATCCCAAACTTATTCGAGCATGGATCCCTTTCTGTTCCTACGTCCTGGAATCGGATAGCTCTTGTGCAAGTCATTTTACCTAGTTTAGCCTGAATTTGCCCATCTTTAAAATAGAAATAATACTAGTACCTACCTCATATTTCATTTGAAAGAATAAAGTGGTTTAATGAATGTAAAGTATTTAGCACATAAAAAGTATTCTATAAATGCTAGGGAAGGAAAAATCATCTGCAGAAAGTCAGTGCCTAATTTTTTATCTTTTCGACTCTATCACTTTTTTTGAAAAAAAAAATTAAAGCTATGGCCGGGCGCAGTGACTCACGCCTGTAATCCCAGCACTTTGAGAGGCTGAGGCGGGCAGATCACGAGGTCAAGAGATCGAGACCATCCTGGTTAACGCGGTGAAACCCGTCTCTACTAAAAATACAAAAAAATTAGCCGGGTGTGGTGGCATGTGCCTGTAATTCCAGCTACTCAGGAGGCTGAGGCAGGAGAATGGCGTGAACCCGGGAGGCAGAGCTTGCAGTGAGCCGAGATCGCGCCACTGCACTCCAGCCTGGGCGACAGAGCAAGATTCTGTCTCAAAAAAAAAAAAAAAAAAAAAATTAAAGCTGCATTAATTGATCAAATATGGTTTCCAAGTCAATGCAGATTATCTATGTCACTCTCTCAACGATGCAACGTTCACCTTTGGTAGCTAACCAAAGACGAGTCTAGTGGCCTCCTACTCTCCTCTGACTACCATAGTTTCCCCATTGAAACCCCACTCATATCTCCCTCAATCAAAAGGATGCGTTTCTTGTCTTCATCAGATTCTTCCTTCCTTCTTTGTCTCATTTATCTCTGAATCCATAGGACCTAAGTTCTATCCCACATCAGGTGCCCAATGAATGTTTAAGGAAAGCAGAAAGGAAAAAGAAAAGGAAAAGATGGAAGAGGAAGAGGATTAAAATGTTTCATTTCAAGACATGACAGATTACATAGCATTCTCTAACTTATATTGACAGGTTAAAAGAGTTGGACTAACTTCTATAAACAAATTTCTCATTTCATCTCTCTTCTTCAAATATGTTAAAATTTTTATACTTTATTTCTGTTCTTTAGTGAGTGACCTAAAATACAAAATGTATAGCTATCTTAATATCAGAAGATATAATTTTTCCCTCCTCTCAATTATTATAAAGACTTCAAATACTTTAATTCGGGCCACACCTTCTCATCTTGAAAACTACTGTTTTCTGGTATTTTAACTTACCTGGATCTTTTTTTAGCTCTGTCAAAAGACAAAATTACAATAAAAATCTAGCTGGCTTTTATTTTGACTTCTAGTATCAGCAACACCTTATTCTGTAAAGTAGAATGAGTGCTCCATTGAGCTCAGCAGATGAGGTTGACTTTATGGGCAGAAAAAGGGCTGAAGAAAGCAGAAGCAGAGAACAAAAAGCAGATTGGTGTTTTCAAAGTTACTTTTTTTTTTTTTTTGAGACAAGGTCTTTTTGCTCTGTCGCCCAGGCTGGAGCAGCAAAGTGGTACAATAACGGCTCACTGCAGCCTCAACCTCTCAGGCTAAAATGATCCTCCCACCTAAGCTTCTCCAGTAGCTGGGACCACAGATGCATGCCACCATGCCTGGCTAATTTTTGTATTTTTTGTTTTTGTATTTTTTGTGGAGACAAGGTTTCACCATGTTGCCCAGACTGGTTTTGAACCCCTGTGCTCAAACAATCCTCCCACTTTGGCCTCCCAAACTGCTGGGATTACATGCATGAGCCATCATACCTGGCCGTCAAAGTTACTTTCTTTATATAGGGTTAAAACAGAGGGGACTTTCCTGTTATGCTGACTCAGGTTGACTAGAATCTTCTGTTTTGGGAAAACTAAGATGGATAGATAGATAGATAGATAGACAGATAGACAGATAGATAGACAACTTTTCTCATTTTTTGACTGACAATTATGACTTGTCCCTCTGCCTTGAGAAAAGTGCTATGTTTTTTCAAAAATAGAAATGGTATATTTATCAGAGTCCTTCCACAATGTAAGGCTAAGGAATTACATTCTTATTAACATTTCACAATTTCTTTTTTTAACACAAATTCTCCTCACCCACAAGGCATATTCACAGTAAGCAGAATACAGCCCAATACTTGAATTTATGTACTAAATGATAAGGAAATAGCTGTACATCATCATTATCTCCAAATAGACTGAGGATCCTTTTTCATCTTTCAAGATGCAAATTTCATCATCCTATTGAATTTATTCTCTGCATAAAACATTAGCATTTACCAAGGTTCTTGCGGGGTTTTTCTGTTTTTGTTTTTAGCATAGGAGGACTTCTGAAGAATCGCTATATGTGAATAATAATATTATCATTGAACAAGGTTTTAAAAACCACATTACTCATTTTTGGTATATTATCAATATTTTTCTTTCTTTCTTTCTTTTTTGGAAGATTATCTGGGCCTGCCGCTTGCTTCCTCAGCACAATTGAACACATAATTACTATGTAAATTTAGGTTTCCACATGCTTCCAGGGGAACATAGACCATTTGGTATCGGAGATTTCGAAGCCTTAATCATTTGGAATATGGTACATTCGACTTAATCTGTAAAATGAAGATAATTCTTATCTGCCTTGCAGAATTTTATAAGGATTAATTACTTAATTTTGGTTAAGCAATTTGAACATGAAAAACATTACATAAATGAAGGCAAGTCCTAATATTATTAAAAAAGATTACTGAGCAGAGAAGCACAGAGATATCTTTTCTGTTTATTATTCTGTTATTATCATATATAATTAGATCATTATCTAATAATTGTTTAGATTACAAAATATAAAACAGGCAGGGCACAATGGCTCATGCCTGTAATCCCAACATTTGGGAGGCCAAGGTAGGAGGATTCCTTGAGGCCAGGAGTTCAAAACCAGCCTGAGCAACATAAAGAAACCCCACCTCTACAAAAAATAAAAAAATTACCTAGGCATGGTGGTGCATACCTGTAGTCCCAGCCATTGGGAAGGCTGAGGCAGGAGGATCACTCAAGCACAGGAGTTTCTGGCTGCAATGAGCTATGATAATGCCACTGCACTCCATCCAGCCTGGGTGACAGAACTAGATCCTGTCTCTGTTTAAAAAAAAAAAAAAGGTAAAACACATAACTTTTTTTTTCAGTACCTGATACTCACATATGTGTTTTCCTTTCTTCACAAAAATATCATTGAGTATACCATTACCATTAAAATCTGTGATTCTCTAATACTGTAATATTAACTTATTTCATAAAATATTGTGATATGGCTCAGACCATTGAAGTTATTTTTGGTTGGGAGAGTATCGATAAGAAATGGCAAGTCTCTTTTAAGAATTATTTGCTTTAAGTTAAAAAGTCAGGTATATATAGATATACCTTTAAAATCAAGTCCCATGACCAATGATGAAAGAATGCACTCCATTTTCATTAAGGATTTAAAGATGCCCTACTACGTACCCATGTAGATTCCTGGTCATATGAAAGAATACTCAAGAATAATTATTGATTGAAAATCCAACATTCTATAAGAAGAGAAGGAAGAATAAAACAAACATAAAACTGGTCCATGTTATTAAATGTATCAATGGTTTTCATTTTCTACAGCATAAAGTATGAATTCATTGGCACGGTACTAAAGTCTTTGTCTACCGCCCAACTCTCAAGTCTTTTTCTTTCCTTCAACCAATATATTTTAAACAATTATTTACCAAGTATCCATTGTGTGTTTGGCCCTTTGGTAGGTGCTAGAAATACAAAAGGAGAGAGAGAGAATTCCTGACAGCGCAAAGTTTAGACATTGGCAGGAGATACCGATATTTAAATAAACGAGTAGTTATATACCATAGAGTTGGGTCAAGAGCTATGAAGGCTATTATAGGATTGCAAGAAAGGCATATAATCTAAGGAGTACAAAAATTGTCTCTACAAAAGCGCCATTTAAGCTAAGACCTAAAGAACAAAAAATTGTCCAGTCAAAATTATAGGTGAATGAAGAGGTGTGGCAGTACATGTGAAGGCCCTGAGAGGAAAGGGGACTGGCACATTAGAGGAAAAGGGAAAAAACGTCACGATACAGAAAGTGGCTGCAAACGAGGCTACAGAGGTAGATGGGGCGCCAGATCAGAGAAGTCTTGTAAGTCAATATAGGACCTTACCCTGAGAACAACGGAAAAACCATTGAAATATTTGAGGCAGTTGTGTGAAATATTCGTATGCTTTTCAAAAATTATTCTGGCTGTTTATATGGGGAAAAAACTGACAGAAACAGGAATAAAAGCCAGGCTATTATTATAAGAAGGCTATTGCAATGGCTTAGGCTAGAAAAGATGGTAGAAAAGAAGGAAAGGAGCAAGAAAGAGAAGGAGAGAGAGAGGAAGAGAGGAAAGGAGGAAGAAAAGAGAAAGAAAAGAAAAAAGAAAAGGAAGATAACCTTTTAACAGTTTCAAGTCAAATGACAATTAAGAAAAAATATTTTACACTCATACCAGGCAAAGAGCTAATTCCAATAATATATAAAGAACTTCTATACATCAATAAGACTAACAAATCAATTTTTAAAATGGGAACAAATAAACAGTTTAATAAAAAGGATATATAAACGTTATAAACATGAAAAGATATTCATGACAAGAGAATTAAACATTAAAATGACTGATATTTTTCACTTAAAATATTGACAACATTGAGGGTCCAAGTGAATGCCAGTTTGGCAGTTTAGACAAGTGTCATCTGACAAAACAGAATTTCTACAAAATATTTTATATTATATTCATGGAAATTCACATTGTATTCTCCCATAAAATACATACAAAATCCTAAATATAGAAATAGTATTTAATTTGGCTTAACCCAGTGTTGCAGGTATCAACTAAATTAGAAAGAGGAGCTTTACTCCTTGTTAAAGTTTGCAGCCAGCAGAGTGGCCATTCTGACAGGCTGGTCAGCGTAGCCTTTGGTCAGAAGCTAGAAACAAGCACTTCAAGGGAGGAGTAAAGGAAACAGGAATTTATGCTGAGCAGGATGGCCAAATATACATATTTACTAAGCTATAGGAAGAGTCGTGTTATGAAAAGAGAAACATGTGCATTCGCATTGAGCTTCATGCCTCTCCATGGGACCCGTGTTTAAAAAAATGGCAATATTAGCATGATCCGAGGGTGGAGTTTTCAGCCCTATGATGTCAAAAGGTGAAGCAGAGGACATGAAAACTCTCTCTGTGTATCCTCCTTACACTGCCCAGAACCACTTCATGGACAGCGGTCTTTTATTAGGAAGGAATGCTGGTCAGATGTTTTGTTGAAATCCAAAAGGAGAGGCAGCATCAGGCAGTGGGTTGATGTCAATGGCAGAGTCTTTTTAAAAAGCTGATTTCTGTGTAGCCCCTAGAGAAGAAAGCCTAATGGTGGTTAGCTAGCCAGGAGGGTCTAATGAGATGGGTCCAACCTCCCATCCCATTTTCACTGGGAACTCAGTTTTCAAGGTTTTTCTGGGGTCCCCTGGGCCAAGAAGAGGCCCATTCAGTCAGTTGGGGGCATAAGAATTGTTTTTTGCTTGTTTGTTTGTTTTGTTTTGTTTTGTTTGGAGATGGAATCTTGCCCTGTCACTGAGGCTGGAGTGCAGTGGTGTAATCTCCACTCACTGCAACCTCCATCTCCTGGGTTCAAGTGATTCTGGTGCCTCAGCCTTCCCAGTAGCTGGGACTACAGGTGCACACCAGGACGCCCAGCTAATTTTATTTTTGTATTTTTGGTAGAGACTGGGTTTCACCACGTTGGCTACGTTGGTCTCAAACACCAGACCTCAGGTGATCTGCCTGCCTCGGCCTCCCAAAGTCCTGGGATTACAGGCATGAGCTACCATGCCCAGCCAGGATTTCATTTTTGTTTCTCACAAATTGGGTCTTCAGAAAACAGACTCTAAGATGGAGATTTCCATGCAGGAACTTCATTAGGGAGTGGCCTAAGGGCTGGATCCAATGATAGGACTTGTTACAGAACTGCACTCACTACTTGTAGTGGGAATGAGAGGAGCCCAAAACAACAAAGCCAGGTGGTGGCAATCAATCCTCAGTGGCAAGATAGGCACAGTTACCATAATGGGCAACAAGGGCAGATGGCTTGACTCACAGGGATCAATGGAGATGGCAAACAAAGCATAAAGTTCTTCTGGGAAAGAGAAATAGGCAGCCAACAAGAATAATCCTTAATTTGCATAACCAAAGGCCATCTAGCCAGCTCATACCTGTGGGAGGGAGGAAGTAGAACAAAGGGTAAAAGCTGAAGATAATGAGTACTAATTATGGTCTCAGGATCAACTGTAGCAACAGGGGCTGTAGTTTGTCCCACTAACCCTCCTCTTGTAGATTTTTCCAGAAATTGTAACCAGCCAGAATTCTGGAGAAACCACACTTGTACAGAGGGAGGTTAATATGAGAAGCAAGTGGATTTCAGCAGTGCAAGGAGCAAGCTGCATCAGGCACTGTTGATGCCCCCTACCTACATCCCTTTACTCCATTGATGCCCACATTTGCCCCCTTTCTTTTGGTAATTGCCCTTGGACAACAGGAGCTGCCTCCCCAACCCCCATGCTGCAGGCCCCACTCTGAGGTTTTAGGCCCTCCAGGACCCCCAGCTGGAGCCAACCTGCAGCTAATACCAAAATACAAAAGGTTGGACTCCTTTCCTGAAGGCATGATCAACTTTTTGGTGCAATTAATACTCTAGAACTCCCTGTGGAATTATCCTGAAACTAGATTTCAACTGAGATCACATTCTTGCTTAACTTTTTTCCTCCCTCCTATGTGTGGTCCAGGATCAAAATATTATCACAGTCTGGGCCTTCTTCTTTTTTTTTTTTTTTTTTTTTTTTGTCTTATAGAGATGGAGTCTCACCATGTTGCCCAGGCTGGTCTCAAACTCCTGGGCTCAAGTGATCCTCCCACCTCAGCCTCCCAAGCTGCTGGGAATACAGGCATGAACTATCGCACCCAGCCTAGGCCTTCTTTAAAAACTGCTGGACCACGACTAGGCCGAGCTGTGCCCAGTCCAAGGCTCTAGTTCAAGGGAGCATTGAAGGAGGAAGGTTGACCCTTCAAGTCATCTAAATTAGTGTTTTTCAGCTGAACCTCATGACACATGAATGAGCCATGAAATCAATTTAGGGAGCTACCACTCCCATTTCTTAAACAAAATGTAACAAATTACAATAGAATAGAAACTCTCCACACGTATCACATGGAGAAAAGCGTTTTTTCCATTGAAACTTTATTTCCACTATATATATGCAAGTTGATGTGTATGTATGTGACTCAGAATATAGAGTCATGATGTAAAATATATATTTGACATTGAGTTGTAGTCAATAAACTTTAACGCCATGAATCTAAACAGAAAAGAAATGGTGACAAAGGTACCAAGAACATGCAGTGGGGAAAGGACAGTCTTTTCAATAGACGATACTGGGAAAACTGGAGAACTATATGCAGAAAAATGAAACTAGACCCCCTATCATGCACCATTGGTCTGGGCAAAGAGTTTTTGTATAAGACCTAGAAAGCATGAGCAACCAAAGTAAAAATGGACAAATGGGATCACATTAAGCTAAAAAGCTTCTGCACAGCAAAGGAAACAATCAAGTGAAGAGACAACCCACAGAATGGGAGAAAACATTTGCAAACTATCCATCTGACAAGGGATTAATAACAAGAATATGTACAGAACTCAAACAACTCTGTAGCATAAAAACAAATAACCAATTTAAACATGTGCCAAAGATCTGAACAGACATTTCTCAAAAGAAGGTATACAAATGGCCAACAGGTATATAAAAAACCTGCTCAACGTAAGTAACCATCAAAGAAATACAAATCAAAACCACAATGAAATGTCATCTCACACCAGTTAAAAGGCTTGTATCAAAAGGACAGGCAATAACAGTTGCTGGCAAGGATGTGGAGAAAGGGGAAACCTCGTACGCTGTTGATGAGAATGTAAATTAGTACAGCCACTATGGAGGACAGTAGGAAGGTTCCTCAAAAAACAAAAAATAGAACTACCATATGATGCAGCGGTCCCATTGCTGGGTATGTAGCCAAAAGAAAGGCAATCAGTGTATTGAAGAGACATCTGTACTCCTACGATTATTGCAGCACTATTCACAATAACCAAACATGGGATCAACCTGTGTCTGTCAATGAATGAGTGGATAAATAAAATATGATCTATATACACAATGGAATATTGCTCAGACATAAAGAAGAATGATATCTGATCATTTGCAGCAACATGGACGAAACTGGAGGTCATTACATTAAGTGAAATAAGCCAACCACAGAAAGACAAATATCACATTCATATGCGGGATCTTAAAAAGTGAATCTCATGAAGATAGAGAGTAGATTGGTGCTTACCAGAGGCCAGGAAGGGGCCAGGGGATGAAAGGGAAAAAAAGAATATAAAGGTAGTTATAACTGCTGAACTGTCCACTTAAAAATGGCAAAGATGAGGCCAGGCGCAGTGGCTCATACCTGTAATCCCAGCACTTTGGGAGGCTGAGGCGGGCGGATTACCTGAGGTCAGGAGTTCGAGACCAGCCTGACCAATATGATGAAACCCAGTCTCTACTAAAAATACAAAAATTTACCGGGCATCGTGGCAGGCGCCTGTGATCCCAGCTACTCAGGAGGCTGAGACAGTATAATTGCTTAAATCCAGGAGGCAGAGGTTGCAGTGAGCCGAGATCACACCATTGCACTCCAGCCTGGGCAACAAGAGCAAAACGCCATCTCACAAAAAAAAAGGCAAAGATGGTAAATTTTATATGTATATTTTACCTTAATAAAAAAGAATAATTTTTTTAAAAAAGAAAAGAAAATATGTGATGCCATCAGAGCACCCACAGGCCATGACTAGAGCTCAAATATTTAATAATGCAGCCCCATTAGCTCCTGTCAACCAGCAAAGGCTACCTTCTGATTAGTCACTTTTGCTCTGGCTGTTAGGTCAGCTATAGACTCAATGCTCACTGAATTAATCCTCTAAAACCCAATTTCTGGAGTGCAGTTTTGATAATTATAGGCTTACTTAGTTAATAGTATTTATTTGGCTGTAATCTTACTTATTGAGCTGAGCCAAATTCAGCTAATATTAGAAACAAAACCTTCCAGGACTAACAATAGCCAGTGCAACTTTGTCTAAAAATCATTGTGTATATTAAATCATATCAAAGTCAATATCTAACCACAAACTTACTGATTAATTTATACCAAACATTTGCCCAAAAAAAGGTAATCATATTTTGTTAAAAATTCCTATACAGAAGCTGAAATCAACTTCTTTTTTTCTTTACCTTTCAAGATGAAATAACTTCAGAGAAAACTTTGAGGAAAGTCCTATTCAAGCAGGGAACTTGGAGAGTTCATAACCCCTCTTCCCTGGAGTTTATACTTCTGGCAACCTCAGTCACTTTGAGCAACACTAGACCCTGAATATAAGTGTAAAGGGCTCTGAGTAACTCCTGGGTGGCCAAAATGAAACTCACAAAGTCTGAGCACTAAAATCCTTTTAGTTTTATTACAATCATTTTTAGTCATTTTATGTTTTTATTGATTTTCCAATCGTAGCACATTTGAGGCAGAAAATTACTAAAATAAGTTACAGTTAGAAGCAAGCATAATGATAGCAAAAGAAATTGTAGCTAACAACCCAGTGAGTTAAGAGATAGGAAAACTATCAAAACTTTGACAAGACAGCAAACACATGGCAATCGATGGTCATTTAGTATAGGCACCAATGTAGCCTTTTTTTGATGTATTTTTTAATTGTTTTTTAAATTTTCATATTCTAATAGTTTTGTTGCTGATGTGTAGAAATAAAATTTACTTTTATATACTGACTTTGTACCCAACAACCTAGCTAAATGTACTTAATTCTAAAATTTAGTTGTGGGAGCTCTTGGATTTCATATGTATCCAGTCATGTCACTTGTGATATAAAGATATAATATTGACTGTTGTATAGTTAATATATCAAGATATATGAAGATAGAAAAATGATTATTTTATATCTTCCTTCCCAATACCTATATTTTTCTTGCCTTATTTCCCTGGTAGGGACCTCACATAAAAAAATTAAATAGAAGTGATGATAAAAGGCATCTCCTTGTGTATTTGCTTACATCAGAGAAAAAGTTTTCAATATTTCACCATTAAAAATGATGTTTGGCCAGGCCTGGTGGCTCATGCCTGTAATCCCAGCACTTTGGGAGGCCAAGGTGGGCAGATCACGAGGTCAGGAGATCGAGACCATCCTGGCTAACACGGTGAAACCACATCTCTACTAAAAATGCAAAAAAAATAAGCCAGGCGTGGTGGCAGGCACCTGTAGTCCCAGCTACTCGGGAGGCTGAGGCAGGAGAATGGCGTGAACCTGGGAGGTGGAGCTTGCAGTGAGCCAAGATCACGCCACTGCACTCCAGCCTGGGCGACAGAGTGAGACTCTGTCTCAAAAAAAAAAAAAAAAAAAATGATGTTTGCCCCAGATGTTTTATGGATATTCTTCATTAAACTAAGGAAGCTCTCTTCTCTTCTGTTTGCTGAGTGGTTTTTTAAATCTTGATGGGATATTATAGTTTATCAAATGCTTTTTTTCTTCTATTTAGATAACTAAATGATTTTTCTCTTGTATTCTGTTATTTGTGCAGAATTACATAAATTGATATTTCAAATGCCAAGCCCACTTTGCGTTCAAGGAAACCCACATCATGGGTTATGATATACTATCTTTTATAGGCTGCTAGATTCTATTTGCTAATAACTTAAGATTTTATGTCTATGAGAAAGATTAGCCTATAATTTTCCTTTACTGTTGTGTCTTTGTCAATTTTATATCAAGTATGAATGATGAGGTTGCAGAGGAAATTGAATTCTTATACACAGCTGCTGAAAGTATAACCACTTTGAAAAGTTGTTATCATATCTTTTTATGCTGATCATATGCATAACCTATAATCTCACAATTCTACTCCTAGTGATATACCAAATAGGAATAAATACATACATGTACCAGAAGACATGTTCAAATATGCTCATAACAGCATTAACTGTACAGCACAAAACTGGGGGAAAAGACATAATTGCCCCTCAAAAGTAAAATGCATAAATAAACTGTACTATGCTCACTCAATGGAATATTCTATAACAATAAAAAAGGAAGAAAGTGCTGCTATACACACTATCATGATTTAATCTCATAAACATGTTGTTCAAAAGTCAAACAAAAATGAAAGTATATGCTGAATGATGCCACTTATATAAAGTTCAGAAGTAAGCAAAACAGATCTATAATGCTAGGAATTCAGGGCATTGGTTACCTTCAAGAGGGAATTAGTCACTGATAGAGGGCATAAATGGGGGAGGAGGGATTATGAATTACTACTAATATTCTAATTCTTGATCTGGGTGGCAATTTCGCTTACTGAAAATTTATACAGCCATGTGCTTACATTTAGTATGTCTTTCTTTATTGTATGTTATACTTAAATAAATATGCTTATAAAAGAGATCATTGGGTAAAAGTAATTAAAAATATGATCATGCATTTTATCTTTATGATGATCATATTATAAAGTGTAAAATTGGAGGTTGTGTTAGTTCAGGTCTTGCAAGAAGCATCTGCCAAGACATGATTTAACATGCAAGGGCTGGGCACAGTGGCTCATGCCTGTAATCCCAGCACTTTGGGAGGCCGAGGGGGGTGGATCATCTGAGGTCAGGAGTTCTAGACCAACCTGGCCAACATGGTGAGAACTTGTCTGTACTAAAAATACAAAAATTAGCTGGGTGTGGTGGCAGGCGCCTATGATCCCAGCTACTCAGGAGGTGGAGGCAGGAGAATTGCTTGAACCCAGGAGGTGGAGGTTGCAGTGAGCTGAGATCGTGTCTTTGCACTGCAGCCTGGGTGACAAGAGCAAAACTCCATCTCAAAAAAAAAAAAAAAAACATGCAAGGATTTTTTGGGAAATGCCTGTGTGAAAGAAATTGAGGGGGCCAGTAAGACTGAGGGAACCATCAGACTACCATGCAAGTCTGACTCGAGCAAAGGAAGAAAGGAGGGAGGGGTGGAAGCATACCACATTATGGTGTAGTCTAAGGAAGTTTCAATGAGGCCACTGGGGAGCCCCGTGACTCCCAGGAATGGGCCTACTTTAGTATCCCAACTAGTCACTAGCAAATGCAGCAAAGGATTTCAAGCCAGCAGCTGGGCCCTTTGGTCAATCATGCTGACTGTGGTTCGATGGCTGCAATGTGCATTCTTATGGTGGCCAAGAGGTTTCAGCATGATATTTTCTTTTTCCTGTTAAAAATAGATTTTTATTTTTATTTTCATTTTTAAAAATTTTTATTTGCCTTTTTAATTTACCTATGGTAAAATTAGCACTTTTTGATGTACAGGTCTATGAGTTTTGAAAAATGCATATAGTCATATAGCTGCAACCACAATTAAGATATTTATCAGTTCTCTTACCCTAAAAGTTTCCTCATGGTGCACCTTTAAAGTCAGCCTCTCACCCCATCTCCAGCCTCTGGCAAACATTAATCTCTTTTCTATTCCTATAATTTTCCCTTTTCTAAAATATAAATTAAATCATATATTATGTAGCCTGTTCAGTATTAATGCATTAGATATTCATTCATATTCTTATGTGCATCAATAAGTTCATTCCTTTTTATTGCTGAGTAGCCTTCCACTTTATGGATGTACCACCACTTTTTTATCCATTCATCAGATGAGAACATTTGGGTTGTTTCCAATTTGGGGCAATTGTGAAAAAGCCACTACAAATATTTGCATATATGTTCTTATGTAGACAGACGTTTTCCTTTCTCTTGGATAAATACCTAAAGGTAGAATTGCTGGGTTATATTGTAAGTGTATGTTTAATGTTAAAGAAACTGTCAGACGGTTTTTGAAAGTGTCTGTAGTATTTTTTATTCCTACCAGCAACGTGTGAGAGTTCTAGTTGTTACATATTCTTATTATTACTTGGTATAGTCAGGTTTGTTTGTTTCTTGTTTTTTGTTTTAGCCAATCCAATAGGTGTCTAGTACTAACTCATTTCTTCTTTGGTAAAGTATCTGTCCAAATATAACTAAGTATTATATATTTTAATCCAAGAAAAAAAATCAGCCTTCTAGCCCCAAAATTTCTGTTCAAACATTTCCTGAGTTTTAGGTGATTGTTTTTATATGAGAAGAAATATAAAAACATTTAAGGGAAATCCTCTCATCTCTCCTCAAAATGTAAAGCTGAGTGGGAATACAAATTTTTCTTCTGAAATAGTTTTGCAAAAATAAATATTTCAAGATATTTAATCACCAAAACAGCACAGGCACTAAACAACCAGAGTAGACACAAGATATAGACTATATGTGTCTCTAGGATATACTAGCTGAATATTTGCCCTGGCTGACAAAACATATCAAAATTCTCAAAAATGGGCATGTTCTTTGAACTACAAATTCCATATTTAATAATGTATTATAAGGAACTAATTAAGGAACATAGAGCTATATATATTTATACACATATACATGCCAACACACACAAGTACATTCAGTGTTGTTTGTGATATAAGAATGCTGAACATGGCCAGGTGCCCTCATGCCTGTAATCCCAGCACTTTGGGAGGATGAGGCAGGAATATCTTTTGAACCTAGGAGTTCAAGATCAGCCTGGGCAAGTGAGATCCTGTCTCTACAAAAAATAAAAAAATTAGCCAGGCATGGTGGCACATGCCTGTAGTCTCAGCTACTTAGGAGGCTGAGGTGGGAGATTGTTTGAGCCCAGAAGGTTGAGGCTGTAGTGAGCTGATCACACCACTGCACTCAAGCCTGGGTGACAGAGCGAGATCCTGTCTCAAAAAAAAAAAAAAAGGAATGTAACTGTCCAATATGAAATTATTGAAATAAAATATAATAGAATATGTCCATACAGTGGCATATGTCATTTAAAATGATGTTTCTGGTATGAGTCCACTGATATTTTAAAAAGTATTCATGATAAATCATTAAGAGAAAAAGGCAGACCACAAAAGGTATTACATGTTCCTCCTTAACTACATGTGTGCATATGAGTGGGTGTTCGGAAATATTTACACAGAGTAACAAATATAATAATTGATGTTTTTCTCTCTGTATTTTCTGATTTTCTGAAACAAGTATTGCTTTAGTAATGGGGAAGGAGGAGGAATACAAGCAAAGCATTACAGAGAAATAAAAGCATCATAATTAATTATTAATAGTGATGGATGAATCATCAAGAAAAACTTAAAATGTGTTTGGTGTAGATTAAAGATTTCAGATTCATATAAAATATTAAACTATTATATTTAATTGATTAGGTTTCATTTGTATAGAGAAAACCTCATTCCTCAGCATTGCCAGATATAGGAAATGGGATGTATTTTCATGTGCATGTTTGCATGTATATAATGTGTGTGTGACTGTCTTGTTTCTACAAAGTAAACCTGGGAGTAGCTAGGCATTTTCACTTAGTCATAGAGAATTTTTTACCTAGAGGGCAATGTTCTGATTCATCCCAAAGCCTGCCCCAGAATTGCTAAAATACCCTTATTCGTATTCTGCTGCAAGCATTGAGTTCACAGAGTAACTCACGCTTCAACAGTTTCTCTCAGTTTAGGTTCAAAGAGACCTACTTTTGCATTGCGTAGTTACAGAAACCATATGAACCTTTTAGCCACAAAGCACATGTTCCAGGGACATGCTATTTCACAATAGAAATTTCAGGCTTCAAACTATGGCTTTAAAATAGTTCATATGACTGTGTAGAATTCTTTTTGCTTAAAGCTAGAAACAAGCATTTTCCTAAACATAAGGTATTTTCCAAGTCATTCAAAAGCACTGTACTTTTCAAAGCAATTTCAAGCAAGGTCACAGCAACCTGACATGCCATGAAGACTCTAGTGATTTAAAAAACATGGACTAGGCTGTCAATCAGAGCAGAAACCCCATCCACACTAGGGACAGAGGAGAAACTTGATGGACAAGCATCTGTCTACTCCAGGGGCATCCAGGCTCCCCCTATTGTCCCCATGGAAGCCTCTCCTGCTGCTTCCTGGTATTTTGTTAATGAATAGAAACAGTAGTAAATTCCACTAGCATTTTGAAAAGATGTTTATTTCAATCCAGGGTCACAAAAGGGGCTGGGGGGTATCTTTTTGTGAGTTATTAAAGTATGTAGACAAAGATCAAAAAGGCTTAGCAAAAATTCGTACATTCCCTGGGAAATCCCGATGGAAACTAAATTAGCCTCTGACTCCTCCAGAACACATACAACTAATGCTTCATTTTTTCATTTTCTCTTGATCATCTGATCACCAAAAGCAGATGTATTCATGGCATTTTTCAAATAAAATGACAGCTAGAGTAAAGAATGCGAATAGATTTATGTGGTCTACTTTGAGTTGAATATGGTAGAACTTGTGACAATAATAATCCATATAATGTTATTTTTCAAAGTCTTTCAAATTATTTCAATATTTCAATCTTTTTTCATAGTAATTTTATTTACATTCTTATTACAAAATTTTCAAAAATATATTAGTTAATTTTATCCTAATGGCAACTATGAGATAAATATTATTGTCCCTATGTGAAAGCAAAGAAAACTATAAGCACTTGGAGGTTAATTAGCTTTCCTAAGGTCACACATACTCACCAGGTATTAGTACTTTGTTGTATCTGCTTTAAATATTTGCTTCTTTTTAGAAATAAAATATTACTCACATAGTGGGTGTCTCTGTTTTATTCCTCACTTATTTAATTCCTCCCTACATCCACAGAAGAAGAAATCACTATCCTAAGATGGTATGTACCTTTCTGTTAGATTTTTGTACTTACACATGTATGTATCCATAAACAACATATAGTATTGTTGTGTATCATTCTGTATCTGTTTTTTCCCACTCTGTTTCTGTGATAGAACAATCTTAAATTATTTAAATCCAGTACATTCCTTTACCTGTGTTACCGTATTCCATGATATGAATATACCATAATTTGATTATTCATTCTCCGAATGATATTTGGGATGTTTCAGATTTTTCAATATTTTAATAAAAATAACGCCACTGAGCCGAACTCCATTTTCCATCCAGCATGTAAGGAGCTTAGAAGTCAAAAACACCATTCTAACAACAAGGCAAAGCTAAACAAGCTGAACATCAAACACTTTTATGATCCATCAGAGAAGGGAGGTCACAGAGCAAAGCACTGCCCTGAAGAGACAGACAGGGACACTGAGAACCACAACTTCCCTGAGCAGAAACCTCTGAGGGAACCAGTGCCCCAGCAGGAAAACCTAAATTAGAATTGAGGAATTGCTGGCAGCTCTGAATAGATAAGTTTTTGTGTTGAAAACTCCAAGGAGACTCAGTCTTAGAGGGGATGCCCAAACTTTTGCAATTTTTACCTCCAGGAGCTCTATCAGCTTCTCACAGTGAAAATGGAAAAAAAAAAAAATTCCCTTGTGTTTCCAGCTGGGAGAGGTGAAAGTAACCATTTTGAAATACACCAAAGCATTCTGCTCTACTTAACAAGGCCTGCCCTCAGGAGAAACTATTTTACCAGCCCCTAACTTACTAGAGTTTTATCAGAGCCTAACCACCCTGCAGAAGCCAAAATATCCAACTCCCGTCCCCTCTAGTTTTCCATGTGGAGAAAAGAAAATACCCAACTCCAGCTCCCTCTAGCTATCCTGTCCCACCTAAGATGGGTGCAAGGAGAACCGAGAAGCACTTGTGAAGTTCACAGACCAAGGGCACAGCCTCGCTGAAAGACGAGACCTAATCACAGGACTATTGAGCCCTTTCCCACCACACACACACACAAACACACACACACGCACAAAACGCATCTTACCACCACATCAGTAAAGGCTTATTTTTAGCAGTTCCTGCTACACAGTACATCACGTCCACCTTTCAGCAAACAGTCCAGGGCACACTAAAAGGCAGAAAGCACAGTTGGAAGAGACTGAACAAGCATCAGAACAAGACTCATGGCATGAATGTTACAATTGCCAGACCATGAATTTAAAACAACTATGACTAACTTGCTAAGGGCACAAACGGAAAAAGTAGACAACATGCAAGAATAGATGCGTAATATAAGCAGAGGGAAGGAAATTATAAGGAAGAATCCAAACAAAGTGCTAGAGATCAAAAACACTGAACTAGAAATGAAGAATGTTTTTGGGAAAGAATCTGAGTTTGAGGATATGTCAATAGAAACTGAAAATTTAAAAAAAAAAAGACTGAAAAATAAAAAACAAAAAACAGAACATCCAAGAACTGCACAACAACTACAAAAGGTGTAATATATGCATAATGAAAATACCAGAATAAGAAAGCGAGAAAGCAACTGAAGGAATATCTGGAACAATAATGCCTGAAGATTTCCCCAAATTAATGTCAGACACCAAACCACAAATCCAGGAAGCTCAGAAAATACCAGGCAGAATAAATGCCCCAAAACTACAAAAATCGTATTCAAATGGCAGAAAATCAAAGATAAAGAAAAATTTTGAAAGAAGCCAGAGGGATTTAATAAATAGTGCTGGCAGAACTGGATAAACATATTCAAAAAATTGAAACTGGACCCCTTCCTTACACATTTTACAAAAATTAACTCAAGATGGATTAAAGACTTAAATGTAAAACCCAAAGCTAGAAAAAACATAGAAGAAAATGTAGGCAATGTCATTCAGGACATAAGCAAGGGCAAAGATTTTATGACAAAATCACCAAAAGCAAGTGTAACAAAAGCAAAAATTGATAAATGGGTTCTAATTAAACTAAAGAGCTTCTGCACAGCAAAAGAAACTATCATCAGATCAAACAGGCAACCTACAGAGTGGGATAAATATTTTGCAATCTATCCATTTCTCAAAGGTCTATCCAGAATCTACAGGGGACTTAAACAAATTTACAAGAAAAAAAAAAAACAACCCTATCAAAAAGTGGGCAAAGGACATGAACAGACACTTCTCAAAAGAAGACATTCATGCGGCCAACAAATATATAAAAAAAGAGCTCAACATCATTGATCATTAGAGAAATGCAAATCAAAACCACAATGAGATACCATCTCATGCCAGTCAGAATGGCTACTATTAAAAAGTCAAGAAACAACACATGCTGGCAAGGCTGTGGAGAAATAGGAATGCTTTTACACTGTTGGTGGGAATGTAAATTAGTTCAACCATTGTGGAAGACAGTGTGGCGATTCCTGAAAGATCTAGAACCAGAAATATCATTTGACCCAGCAATCTGATTTCTGGGTATATACCCAAAGGAATATAAATCATTCAGTTACAAAGATACATGCACACATATGTTCATTGCAGCATTATTCACAATAGCAAAGACATGGAATCAACCCAAATGCCCATCAATGATAAACTGGATAAAGGAAATGTGGCACATATACACCATGGAATACTATGTAGCCATAAAAATAAACGAGATCATTTCCTTTGCAGGGACATGAATGGAGCTGGAAGCCATTATCCTCAGCAAACTAATGCAGGAAGAGAAAATGAAACACCACATGTTCTCACTTATAAGTGTGAGCTAAATAATGAGAACACATGGACACAGGGAGGGGAACAACACATACTGGGGCCTGTCATGGGGAGGGAGAGTAGCAGGAAAAATAGCTAATGCATGCTGGGCTTCATACCTAGATGATGGATTGATAGGTGCAGCAAACCACCATGGCACACATTTACCTATGTAACAAACCTGCACATCCTACACGTGTGCCCTGGAACTTAAAATAAGGTTAAAAATAAAAATTTAAATTTACACTGAAAAACAAACAAACAAAAACAGAAAGAAGCCAGAGGGAAAAAACACTTTACCTATACAGGAGCAAAAATAAGAATTACATCTGACTTCTCAGAAGCCACACAAGCAAGAAAAGACGAGGGTTAAATATTTAAAGTATGTATGTAGAAGGGGAAAATAAAACTACTAACAGATCCTGTGAAATCCTTCAAAAGTGTAAGAGGCTTTCTCAAACAAAAATTGAGGGAATTTGTTGCCAGTAGACCTGCCTTGCAACAAATATTGAAAGAATGTCTTCAGAGAGAAGAAAAATAATATAGGTCAAAAACTCAAATTTACATAAAGAAAGGAAAGAGATTAGAGAAGGAATAAAGGAACAGGTAAAGGTAAAGAAAAAAATCTTAATTTTTCTTATTCTTAATTGATCTCACAGATAACAGTTTGTTCAAAATAATAATAGAAATAATGTATTTGATGATCGATTATAGCTTATGTAGAAGTGAAATGAATGACAGTAAGGCGCTGGAGGGCATAATACAAAGGGCAGAAGGGAAGAATTAGAAATACTCGATTATTGTTACAAGGTACTTGTATTATCTGTGAAGCAGTATAGCTCACTTTCAAATGTATTTGAAAGTGGATTTGGATTAGCTGTAAATGGACATTGCATACTCTAGAGTAACTACTAAATAAAGTAAAATCGTGGTAGCAATGTCCATTTCATAGATGCCATAGGTATCAGTTGCCAAGCATTAAAAATTCTAAGATAAAATAGTTGAGAATTACATTACCTAACACATTCAAGAATTTATTTATTTATTTTTTGAGAGAGTCTCACCATGTTGCTCTGGCTGGTTGAAAACTCCTGGCCTCAAGCAATCCTCCTGCCTTGGCCTCCCAAAGCTCTAGCATTACAGGCATTAGCTGACACACATAGCCCCAGTAAATATTTTTATTTTAAAAAAATGCCACTATAAACATTCATGTGCTTGTCTCCCTGAGCACATGTGGATGGAATTATTTAATCACAGGTCTTCAAAGGCATCTCTCTCTCTGCTAAGCATTATATTTATTCCCCAAAGTGGTTGCGCCAACTTGCACTCCCACCAGCAGTTCTTGATATGATATTTGCTATTACTCTCCATCCTTACTGATACTTCTGTCAAACTTTTAAATTTAGGGGTGTGAAATGCTGTGTCTCATTTAATTTGCCTCCCCCTAATTACTAATAAGGTTGATCATCTTTTCATGTGCTTCTCCTGAACTTCTTCTTCTTTGAATTACCTGTTCATATCTTTATTTTTCCCATGTGTTTGTCTTTTTTTATTGATGTTTAAGAGTCCTTCATATATTCTAAATAATAATTATTTGTTGGTTCTGTGTGTTACGAATACCTTCTCTCAGTCTTTGGAACTCATCTTTTCACTTATTTATGTTGCATGTTAAACGTTTGTAACATAAACTGTCCTTATAAGCAGAAGCAAACTACTTGTAAATATATACTGATACGGTTTGACTTTGTATCACCACCCAAATCTTATCTCAAATTGTAATCCCCAGGTGTTGAGAGAGGGACCTGGTGGGAGGTAATTGGATCATGGGGGCAGTTTTCCCCATGCTGTTCTTGTGATCGTGAGAGAATTCTGAAGAGATCTGATGGTTTTTTAAGGGGCTCTTCCCACTTCGCTTTGCTTTCTTCTCTCTCCTGTTGCCTTGTGAAGAAGGTTCTTGCTTCCCCTTCACCTTCCACCATGATTGTAAATTTCCTGA
Source organism: Homo sapiens (assembly GCF_000001405.40). Lineage (NCBI taxonomy): Eukaryota > Metazoa > Chordata > Mammalia > Primates > Hominidae > Homo > Homo sapiens. The sequence continues at coordinate 86,447,347 of NC_000004.12, forward strand.
GGCCTCTGGAGCCATGGAGAACTGTGCGTCAGTTAAACCTCTTTCCTTTATAAATTACCCAGTCTTGGGTATTTCTTTACAGCAGTGTGAAAATGGACTAATACACATACTGTATAAACCAGGTTCTTGAAAATACTCTTCCCTGAGTTTACTGGTTTTGTTATTGTTATTTAACTTATTTTCTTTAATAGAGTATATGTACATGGCACAAAATTCAAAATACACAAAATGATAAACATAAACAGTAAATCTTCCTCCTTCCTCCTTCCAAGCAACTCAGTTCCTCTCCCACGATACAAACACTGGTGCTTTTTTTTTCTTTTTTGAATCTATGAAGATAAACCATGTATTGTAAACATTTATATATTTTGTTTTTCTACAACAATGGTAATATACTACACTATTATATTCCTTGAAGTTTTCTCCTAAAATGTGTATCTTAAAAATACATATATGTGTGTATCTCTAGATTATCTAGATTATCAGTATAATACATATAGAGTTAATTCTTTCTTTTTTACACCTACCTAGAATTCCACAAGCATGGGGGAATGTGTAGCCTAATGAGAGAATATGTCAGCTCTGGAGCATGATTAAATGAATTTCAGTCCCAGCTCCTCTATTTATTAGAAGCAAGTTAGTTGTGCTCTCTATGTCTCAGTTTCCCCTTTTCTAAATGAAAATAATAATGGTTCCTATCTCACACAGTTTTTGTGGGAGTTAGATTATGTTAATATGTAAAGAGCCTAGTAAATACTTAGCACATAAACACACATACACAAAAAAAACACATTCTTATTCTCACAAACCAATTTTTATTTAACCAACCTGTATTAGAGTCTATTTCACAGCTTTCTTTCCTTTTCATTAATATACTAGTACCACACTTTTAATTAATATAGCTTTATGTAGCATATACATATTAATATGTGCCTAGCAAATCCTCCCTAAATTTTCTCTCTATTTTTTTGTCAGAATTTTCTAGTCTATTGTTCCTTGATGATGTTTCCATATGAATCTTAGAGTCAACTAGTCTAATTAAAAAGAATTCTGGGTTTTTTTTTTTATCTTAAATTTATGGATTAACTAGAGAAATGTCAGTTTTGTAATAGTAAGACTTCCTATCCAAGAACATAATATGTCTTACCATTTGTCAAAGTATTCTTTGTGTTCTTTAGTAATATTTTAACTTTTTAAATGTAGATCTTATAAATTTCTTGTTAACTTTATTCCTAGGTATTTCATGTTTTATTACTATTATAAAAGGGCATTTTGTTCCATTACAGCTTCTAACCCAGCACTCCCCAACATTTTTGGCACCAGGGACCGGATTCATGGAAGACAATTTTTCCACTGACCAAGGGCAGAGCAGGGAGGTGGCTTCAGGATGATTCAAGTGCATTACATTTAATTGTGCACATTATTTCTATTATTATTACATTGTAATATATAATGAAAGAATTACACAACTCACCATAATGTAATATCAGTGGAAGCCCTGAGCTTGTTTTCCTGCAACTAGTCAGTCCCATCTGGGGGTGATAGGAGACAGTGACAGATCATCAGGCATTAGATTCTTATAGGTAGCGTGCAACCAAGATCCCTTGCATGCACAGTTCACAATAGGGTTCCTGCTTCTGAGAATCTAATGCCGCTGCTGATCTGACAGGAAGCAGAGCTCAGGCGGTAATGCAAGCAACTGTAAATACAGAGGAGGATCGCTGGCTCGCCACCCCCACCGCACCACCCCCACCTCACGACCCTGCTCACCTCCTGCTGTGCAGCCTAGTTCCTGTACCAGTCTGTGGCCCCAGGGGTTGGGGACCCGTGTTCTAACTGACTGTGGTTTGTTCCTTGTTTTCCAAGTGTCATTTTTAAATCTCCAGATCTAATCCTCCGTGAAAATGTCTTGCTCCCATAATCCATCAAAATCATCTGAAGCTCTGAGTTCACCAGCAGGTACTAACCAAAAAACACTACAAATGTCTTTATGGTCATGAAGGTAACATTTACCTCGCATTTATTTTAGAGACTTAGAACATAAATTCAAGTTAAAGCGTGCTTTATTTAAGACCACCAATGGTTTCAGTGACTCATATGTTTCAATAATATATTTCTTTACTCATATTTCAATTTACCATAGTACCATGACATGAAATGAAAAAACCTGACCCTAGTCAACTTCAATGTGATACATGAACAGATGATATGGTTTTGGGTATACTAAGTATGGTGTACCCATCCTAACATGACCCCCAATAAGTCATGCATGCTTTTGCAAAGTCTCCTTCAATGTGGAGGAAACTAGGAAACTGTGACTTGCTTTTTAGCCAATAGAATGTGGCAAACATAGTAGGATAGTCACTCTCTTTATTAGGTTATATTACGTGGCAAAGGCGATAGCATAGTCACTTCCGTGATTGTTACATTATATGAGACTTCATCCCAGAAGACTGGAGGACAAAATTTTCCTGCTGGTCTTGAGAAGTAACCTGCCATGTTGTAGGCGCACAAAGGGCAGCCTCTGGAAGATGAGAGTTACCCTGGCTAATTGCCAGCAACAAAATGAAGACTTCAGTTCTATAACCTCAGGAGCCTGCATTTTGCCAACAGTCACAGGAGCTTGAAAGAGGACCCTGAGCTCCAGAAGGAAATGCAGCCCAGCTGATCCTTTGATGTAATCTTGGGAAACTCTAAGCAGAGGAACTAGCTAAATTGTGCCTGAACTCCCAATCCACAGAAACGATGAGATAATAAATGTGTGTTGTTTTAAGCCAATAAGTTGTGCTAATTTGTCATAGCAGCAATAGAGAACTAATAAACTAAGTCAAATACTGTGCCTGCACATTACAACTACAAACAGTAAATATCTCTTACCATTTAGTAAATTTATGGTGGAGTTTAGTCAGAGTGAAGTATCAGTATTATACAGTTTAATTATCTCCCTAAATTTACAGTGCTGTCAGTAGGAAATTCCAGAATAACCCCAGACACTCCAAAGCTTAATATTTCGGCACAACTTTTTCATACCACATACTTCAAAACCTGAGCTAAATATTACTCATCAGCATTCAAAATTTGACTAAACTGAAATCTTTTATAAATGTAAGAGTCTATTTGAAAACAGAAAGTATTATATTAATTTATAACTGAAAAATGGGGGAAAAACAGAGATTTATTTTTAAATAATTGAAATCCTTCAATTATCTCTGCCTCTGCCTCGTCAGTTACCCCTAGGGTATGAATTTTAGTGCTTTTCTTTTTTTAGGTCAGAGATGCAACCACAGTAACCTACCCATAGTTATAACTATAACAACATTTCCATGGCAAACCCAGTTTTCTAGAATTTCACATAATACAGCTATTTGAACACTTACAACCCAGCATATGGGTTCACGCTTGACATTTAATGTCTCAGTCATAAAGCAAACTGTTCCAGCACTTTCAAAAAGAACATTAAGATGTTGGCTTACAAAATAAAATGCTGGCTAACCAAACTTTTTTAATGCATGCAGTCCTAGAATTCAAAAGTATTCTTTCCATTAAAAGTTATTTTCTTTTTCTTCTCTGATACATTGTAAAAAGCTATAAAATTAGTGTCTGACATGCCATTTGGATGTAAATCCAAATCCTCAATTACGCAAAGAAAGGGAGCATATTCAAAGTTAAGTTTTAGAGAGATTTTGTGGAGTGTAGGCAAAGGTTTTCTAAAGAGGATGGAGATTTACAAGGTAACAAAGGCTTAAAGGAACTTCCCCCACTGAGGATCTCAGAGAGAAGTACAAACCGCTAATAATGGAAGCAAGGCCAGATTCTGTTTGTAGAGTCCTCTACAAATAAATAGGGTTGTCTTGACTCTTCAAGTAAATTACATTTTTATCATTCGGTTTTTAAGTTTTTATGTCCTACACTGTTATCCCCAAACCTTCCAGAAACCCAGTATACGAACAGCCTTATATTAGCAGTTCTGTGATGAATTATTAAATAGAGTAAAATATATATTCTGGTGATGAGGTAGAGAGGTAAAGGAGACCTTCACCAAACTACCTTGTTTTAGACTAGCATGGTAATAACATGAAGAATAACGGCCAATATTTATATGACATATTATATGCAAAGCATTTTATATGGATACTAACTCAAACAAACTACTTTAAGTTGACTTCCCCAGAACCAGACCCTGAGGCAAGGATTTGTGTGAAAGTGATTTAAGAAAAAGTGTTTCCAGGAGGAGTGGGAGTGGTACGGTGGGACCAGAAAGTGAAGGAGGCCAAGCAAAGGTGTGAACCACTTCAGAGGGATGATAACTCAATCCCACAGGAGCCCCAGTGTAAAACAAGCCTGAGTTATGTGCAACCCATGTGCCTGATGCCTATGGAGCAAGGGAGGTGGAGTATTTACATTCCTAAAGTGGCAGTCATTCATTAAGGCTGGGGAAACAGGGGAGGGCACACAAATTCCCAGGTACTTTTAGATCTCGAGTCCAAAGCAGGATCTGAGAGAGGAGTTGACAAAAAAAGACACCAGATACCAGCTCGGGGGATGACAGCTCATCTGGGGCCTGTGTGCACAAAGATGGAAGAGAAATCGAACACGATATGAACAGGACATCTGTTACATAACCCTCACAACAACCCTGTAAGGTAGCTATTTGTTTTATGTCCATTTTACAAGTGAGGAGACTGAAATGCAGAAAGATTAAACGAGATGCCCAAGATCCTATAGCTGATAAGTGTCAGAGTCAGGATTTGAAACCAGACTATCTGGCTCCAGAGTCTGCACACTCCTCCACCATATTATTAAATCAAGCACTAGAGCAGAGCATGCAGAGACCCAAGGAAGAACTAAAGCCATGGTTAGGAACCAAACAACAGAGAACAGGCTAGAGCCAGGAATGATTTAAGATGCAGCCCAAATATACTAACGTGACCCTTGGTAGGAGAGAGTGTGTAATTAGATCTATTAAGTGGTTAGTGCCAATCCAGGTATTAGACATTTGGGTTACACATAATATTCACTTTCACTCTAAGCATGCAAGAGAGAGAAATTATTGTAGGCATGGAAGCAGCTGTAGAAAAAGGGAAAGAACAAAACAAAATTTTCTCTCCCTCTTCCTTTTCTTTCCCTAATTCCTACTTCCTTCTCTTCCACACACACAAACATACAATGCGCACGCACACACACACACACACACGCAAGTCTGAAAGCTTCTTTCAGTTTGTTTCTGATAATTTATTAAAAATAATTAGGAAAATTGGCAGAGACATTAAACTCAACACACCATAGCAAGGGACCGAGTCAGAGATTTTCCTGTAAGCTAAGCTTGCCTATAAAAATAGCTTGGATAACAGATAGCTTTTTAATTAATTTTAAAAGCTAGTTGCAAAGGAGAGATCATGGCGGACGGGAGGCAGGACTGGACTGCAGCTCCCACTCGGACAGACAGAGCAGCGTGTGGAGGCTTGCATCGTGAACTTTTGCTCCAGAAGGACTGCAGGAATACATTAGGAATGCCGCAAGAACCCATGGACCCTCTAAAGGGTCCTGCAGGACCCAGGAGACACCCCAAATACTACGAGCGCCCAAACTGTGGAAGTGGGAAAGGGAGGTCGTCTGCCCCCAAACACACAGCCCCACTGGGGAACCTGAAGGTCTAGATTATCCGAGAAGATTCTGACCTTACCTGGAGCTGAGTCAATTTAGAGAGCTGCGTGAAATACAGGGGTAGAGGAAGCAGCGGCAAAATCCCTCTGGGCTCGCTGGGTCCCCTGCCACGCCATTTCTGCCTGGCCTCACAGGGGTCCTTGAGGAGGGCTGCTGGAGGCACTGGGAAAGCTGCAGGGAGAAGGAAAACTCCAGCTGAACTTTGTAACAATTTCAACTGATGGAGAAGTCTCTTGGCCAGAACTCAGGGGGAGGGCATGAATCCAGTGTGCAGACTCAACAGAGCAGGGAAGAAGGAGAGCCCTGTTTATTTTCACAGCTGGGAGGCGGGTAGCCTGGGGAAAGTACTCGGTCCTGCTTGCCCACTGCCTGGAGACAGCCTTGGTGCTGCTGCTGGGGGCACAATGGGAGTGAGACCAGCTGTTTGCGTTGTGTGGGAACTGGGTGAGGCCTGTGACTGCCAGCTTGCCCGCACTTCCCTGTCAAGCTGCATGACACAGCAAAGGCAGACATAATCCTCCTAGGAACATAACTCTATTGACCTGGGAACCTCACCCCCACCCCCCCACCCCACCCCCACCACAGCAGCCACAGCAAGACCCACCCAAGTAGAGTCTGAGCTCAGACATGCCTAGCCCTGCCCCCACCTAATGGTCCTTCCCAAGCCATCCTGGTAACTGAAGACAAAGGGCATATACCCTTGGGAGTTCCAAGGCCCTACCCACTGCCTGTTCCTCCCCATACTACCACAGCTGATGCTCTCTTGAAAGCACCACCTCCCGGCAGGAGGCCAACCAGCACAAAAATTGTGCATTAATCAATCAAAGCTAAGGACCCTCACAGAGTCCTTTTCACCAGTCTGCCACCTCCACTGGAGGAAGTACTGGTATCCACAGCTAAGAGACCCACAGATGGTTCACATCACAGGACTCTGTGCAGACAACCCCCAGTACCAGCCCAGAGCCTGTTAGACTTGCTGGGTGGCTAGATTCAGAAGAGAGATAACAATCACTACAGCTCGGCTTTCAGGAAGCCACATCCCTAGGAAAAGAGGGACAGTACTACATCAAGGAAACACCCTTTTGAACAAAAGGAACTGAACAACAGCCTTCAGCTCTAGACCTTCCCTCTGACAGAGCCTACCCAAATGAGAAGGCACCAGAAAACCAACTCTGGTAATATGATGAAACAAGGTTCTTTAACATCCCCCCAAAATCACACTAGCTCTCCAGCATTGGATCCAAACCAGGAAGAAATCCCTGATCTACCTGAAAAAGAATTCAGAAGGATAGTTATTAAGCTAATCAGGAAGGCACCTGAGAAAGGCGAAGCCCAGTGTAAGGAAATCAAAAATATGATACAAAAAGTGAAGGGAGAAATAGTCAATGAAATAGACAGCATAAATAAAAAACAATCAAAACTTCGGGAAACAATGGACACACTTATAGAAATGCAAAATGCTCTGGAAAGTCTCAGCAATAGACTTAAACAAGCAGAAGAGCTTCAGAGACTCAAACAAGCAGAAAAGCTTCAGAAGACAAGGTTTTCAAATTAACCCAATCCAACAAAGACAAAAAAGAGTAAGAAAATATGAACAAAGCCTCCAAGAAGTCTGGAAGTATGTTAAATGGCCAAACCTAAGAATAATGGTGTTCCTGAGGAAGAAAAGAAATCTAAACATTTGGCAACTATATTTGGGGGATTAATCAAGAAAAATTTCTCTGGCCTTGCTAGAGAACTAGACATCCAAATACAAGAAGCTCAAAGAACACCTGGGAAATTCATTGCAAAAAGGTTATCACCTAGGCACATTGTCATCAGGTTATCTGAAGTCAAGACAAAGAAAAAAAATCTTAAGAGATGTAAGGCAAAAATACCAGGTAACCTATAAAGGAAAACCTATCAAATTAACAGCAGATTTCTCCACAGAAACCCTACAGGCTAGAAGGGATTCGGACCCTATCTTCAGCCTCCTCAAACAAAACAATTATCAGCCAAGAATTTTTGTACCCAGTGAAACTAAGCTTCATAAGTGAAGGAAAAATACAGTATTTTTCATACAAACAAATGCTAAGGGAATTCGCCACTACCAAAGCAGCACTACAAGAATTGCTAAAAGGAGGTCTAAATCTTGAAACATATCCTAGAAACACATCAAAATAGAACCTCTTTAATGCATACATCTCACAGGACCTACAACAAAAATACAACAACAACAAAAAAAACAAGGTATACAGGCAACAAATAGCACAATGAATGGAACAGTACCTCACAACTCAATACTAACATTGAATGTAAATAGCCTAAATGCACCATCTAAAAGACACGGAATTGCAGAATGGATAAGAATTCACCAGCCAACTAGAGACACACCTTCAAGAGACACAAACTTCAAGAGACACACCTAACACATAAGGACTCACATAAATTTAAGGTAAAGGGAAGGAAAAAGACATTCCATGCGAATGGACACCAAAAGTGAGCAGGGGTAGCTATTCTTATATCAGACAAAACAAACTTTAAAGCAACAGCAGTTTAGAAAGACAAAGAGGGTCATTATATAATGATAAAAGGCCTTGTCCAACAGGAAAATATCACAACCCTAAATATAAATGCACCTAACACTAGAGCTCCCAAATTTATAAGACAATTACTAATAGACCTAAGAAATGAGATAGACAGCAACACAATAATAGTGGGGGACTTCAATACTCCATTGACAGCACTAGACAGGACATCAAGACAGAAAGGCAACAAAGAAACAATGGATTTAAACTATGCACTGGAACAAATAGACTTAACAGATATTTACAGGACATTCTACCCAACAAATGCAGAATATACATTCTATTCAACAACACATGGAACTTTCTCCAAGATAGACTGTATGATAGGCCACAAAATGAGCCTCAATAAATTCAAGAAAATTGAAATTGTATCAAGCATTCTCTCAGACCAGAGTGGAATAAAACTGGAAATCAACTCCAAAAGGAACCTTCAAAACCAGGCAAATACATGGAAATTAAATAACCTGCTCCTGTATGATCATTGGGTCAAAACTGAAATCAAGATGGAAATTTAAAAATTCTTCAAACTGAATGACAATAGTGACACAACCTTTCAAAACCTCTGGGATACAGCAAAGGCAACACTAAGAGGAAAGTTCATAGCTCTAAATGCCTACATAAAAATGTCTGAAAAAGCACAAACAGACAATCTAAGGTCACACCTCAAGGAACTAGAGAAACAAGAACAAACCAAACTGAAACCCGGCAGAAGAAAGGAAATAACCAAGATTCAGAGCAGAACTAAATGAAATTGAAACAACAACAACAAAAAAGATAAGTAAAACAAAAACCTGGTTATTTGAAAAGGTAAATAAGATTGATAGACCATTAGCAAGATTAACCAAGAAAAGAAGAAAGAAAATCCAGATAAGCTCAATTAGAAATGAAATGGGAGATGCTACAACTGACACCACAGAAATACAAAAGATCATTCAAGGCTACTATGAACACCTTTATGCACATAAACTAGAAAACCTAAAAGAGATGGATAAATTCCTAGAAAAAAACAACCCACCTAGTTTAAATCAGGAAGAATTAGACACTCTGAACAGACCAATAACAAACAGCAATATTGAAATGGTAATAAAAAAATTACCAACAAAAAAAAGTCCGGAACCAGATGGATTCACAGCAGAATTCTACCAGACATTCAAAGAAGAATTGATACCAATTCGATTGACACTATTCCACAAGATAGAGAAAAAGGGAATCCTCCCTAAATCATTCTATGAAGCCAGTATCACTCTAATACCAAAACCAGGAAAGGACATAACCAAAAAAGACAACTACAGACCAATATCCCTGATGAACATAGATGCTAAAATCCTTAACAAAATACTAGCTAACTGAATCCAACAACACATCCAAAAGATAATCTACCATGATCAAGTGGGTTTCATACCAGGGATGCAGGGATGGTTTAACATACATAAGTCAATAAATGTGATACACCACATAAACAGAATCAAAAACAAAAATCACAAAATCATCTCAATAGATGCAGCAAAAGCATTTGACAAAATCTAGCATCCCTTTATGATTAAAACTCTTAGCAAAATTGGCATACAAAGGACATACTTCAATGTAATAAAAGCCATCTATGACAAACCCACAGCCAACAGATACTGAATGGGGAAAAGTTGAAAGCATTCTGTCTGAGAACTGGAGCTAGACAAGGATGCCCACTCTCACCACTCCTTTTCAACATAGTACTGGAAGTCCTAGCCAGAGCAACCAGACAAGAGAAAGAAATAAAGGGCATCCCAATTGGTAAAAAGGAAGTCAAACTGTCACTGTTTGCTGATGATGTGATTGTTTACCTAGAAAACCCTAAAGACTCCTCCAGAAAGCTCCTAGAACTCATAAAAGAATTCTGCAAAGTTTCCAGATACAAAAATCAACATACACAAATCAATAGCTCTTCTATACACCAATAGCAACCAAGCTGAGAATCAAATCAAGAATTCAACCTTTTTACAATAGCTGCAAAACAAAATAAAATAATTACGAATATACCTAACCAAGGAGGTAAAAGACCTCTACAAAGAAAACTACAAAACGTTGCCGAAAGAAATCATAGATGACACAAACAAATGGAAACACATCCCATGCTCATGGATAGGTAGAATCAATATTGTGAAAATGACCATACTGCCAAAAGTAATCTACAAATTCAATGCAATTCACATCAAAATACCACCATCATTCTTCACAGAATTAGAAAAAAAAAATCCTAAAATCCATACGGAACCAAAAAAGAGCCTACATAGCCAAAGCAAGACTCAGCAAAAGAACAAATCTGGGCTGGGAGCGGTGGCTCACACCTGTAATCCCAGCACTTTGGGAGGCTGAGATTGGAGGATCACCTGAGGTCAGGAGTTTGAGACCAGCCTGACCAACATGGAGAAAACTCATCTCTACTAAAAAATACAAAATTAGGCCAGGCACGGTGGCTCATGCCTGTAATTCCAGCACTTTGGGAGGCCAAGGCAGGCAGATCACCTGAGGTCAGGAGTTCAGGACCAGCCTGGCCAACATGGTGAAACTCCGTCTCCACTAAAAAAATACAAAAATTAGCCAGGCATGGTGGCATATGCCTGTAATCCCAGCTACTTAGGAAGCTGAGGCAGGAGAATTGCTTGAACCTGGGAGGTGGAGGTTGCAGTGAGCCAAGATTGCACCACTGCACTCCAGCCTGGGTGACAGAGCAAGACTCTGTCTCAAAAAAAAAAAAAACTAGCCGGGCGTGGTGGCACATGCCTGTAATCCAGCTACTTGGGAGGCCGAGGCAGGAGAATCACTTGAACCCAGGAGGCAAGGGTTTTGGTGAGCTGAGATCATGCCATTGCACTCCAGCCTGGGCAACAGAGCGAAACTCCATCTCAAAAACAAAAAAAAAAGAACAAATCTGGACGCATCACATGACCTGATTTCAAACTGTGCTATAAGGCCATAGTCATCAAAACAGCATGGTGCTGGTATAAATATAGGCATATAGACCAATGTAATAGAATAGAAAACCCAGAAATAAACCCAAATACTTACAGCCAACTGATTTTCAATAAAGCAAACAAAAACATAAAGAAGGGAAAGGACACCCTATTCAACAAATGGTGCTGGGATAATTGGCAAGCCACATGTAAGAGAATGAAACTGGATCCTCATCTCTCACCTTATACAAAAATCAACTCAAGATGGATCAAGGACTTAAATCCAAGACCTGAAACTAGAAATTCTAGAAGATGGCTTTGGAAAAACCCTTCTAGACATTGGCTCAGGCAAAGATTTCATGACCACGAACCCAGAAGTAAATGCAATAAAAACAAAGATAAATAGCTGGGACTTAAACAAAAGAGCTTTTACACAGCAGAAGGAACAGTCAGCAGAGTGAATAGACAACCCACAGAATGGGAGAAAAATCACAATCTATACATCTGACAAAGGACTAATACCCAGAATCTACAATGAACTCAAACAAATTAGCAAGAAAAAAAACAAACAAGGCCATAAAAAAGTGGGCTAAGGCCATGAATAGACAATTCTCAAAAGAGGATATACAAATGGACAACAAACATATGAAAAAATGCTCAACATCACTAGTGATCAGGGAAATTCAAGTCAAAACCACAATGCAATACCACCTTACTCTTGCAAGAATGGCTATAATCAAAAAATAATAGATGCTGGCGTGGATGCAGTGAACAGGGAACACTTCTACGCTGCTGGTGGGAACATAAACTAGTAAAACCACTATGAAAAAAAGTGTGGAGATTCCTTAAAGAACTAAAAGTAGAACTACCATTTGATCTAAGCAATCCCACTACTGGGTATCTCTCCAGAGGAAAAGAAGTCACTAAAAAGATACTTGCACACACATGTTTATAGCAGCACAATTTGCAATTGCAAAAATGTGGAACCAACCCAAATGCCCATCAATCAAAGAATGGATAAAGAAACTGTGAGATATGTATATATAGATAGATAGATGATGGAATACTACTCAGCCATAAAAAGGAATGAATTAATGGCATTCGCAGTGACCTGGATGAGATTGGAGACTATTATTCTAAATGAAGTAACTCAGGAATGGAAAACCAAACATCATATGTTCTCACTTATATGTGGGAGCTAAGCTATGAGGATGCAAAGGCATAAGAATGACACAATGGACTCTGGGGACTCAGGCAGAAAGGGTGGGAAGGGGGTGAGGGATAAAAGATCACAAATTGGGTGGAGTGTATACTGCTCGGGTGATGGGTGCACCAAAATCTCACAAATCATCACCGAAGAACTTACTCATGTAACCAAACACCACCTGTTCCCCAATAACTTATGGAAATAAAAAATTTAATTAAAAAATAAACTTCTAAGAAAAAAATCTAAAAAAAAAGCTAGTTGTTTCAAATTCAAAACAGAATTTGAGATTCCCTGGGAAAGTTTATGTTCCATAAAATAAATATTTTTGTCAATCAGGTTACCACTAAATCTATCATTAAATCTTTGTTCATTTGAATATAGCAGAGTTTAAATTTTTAAAGAGTCTTCTATGGGTTTCAGCAACTGGGCAGACTGAGATGTTCAGACTCCCCTCAATTAGCAACACATAGAAGTGATGGCTAAAATATAACCCCCAAATAAACTTAACTACATAGTTGGGTATTGATAAAACATTAGAAATGTACATCTTAAGTGCCAGACATGAAACAGGGACTCAAAGCCAGAGATGTGCCTGAAGAAGCCAATGCCTTGGTTCTGGAAGGCAGGGCCAGGAGAGAAGGCATAGAAAACCAAGTCCAGGAACACACTTTCTCCTTTACAGGAGACCCAGAGGGAAGGGTAGAATGGTTCCCATATACATGGGAACTGGATATGTGACAGAGATCACCCGTCACATGTAAAAATCAGAAGAAAAAGGATGGAACCACCAATTAATGCCAATAGTGTAATGCTGGGAACAGGCCCCCAAATCTGGCCATAAACTGGCCCCAAAACTGGCCATAAACAAAATATCTGCAGCACTGTGACATGCTCATGATGGCCATGACGCCCACGCTGGAAGGCTGTCAGTTTACAGAATAAGGGCAAGCAACACCTGGCCCACCCAAGGCAGAAAACCACTTAAGGCATTCTTAAACCACAAACAATAGCATGAGTGATGGGTTCCTTAAGGACATGTTCCTGCTGCAGTTAACTAGCCAGAGCCCATCTCTTTATTTTGGCCCATCTCTTTGTTTCCGGTAAGGAATACTTTTAGTTAATCTATAATCTATAGAAACAATGCTTATCACTGGCTTACTGTCAATAAATATGTGGGTAAATCTCTGTTCAGGGCTCTCAGCTCTGAAGGCTGTGAGACCCCTGAATTCCCTCTCCACATGCTATATTTCTGTGTGTGTGTCTTTAATTCCTCTAGCACCACTGGGTTAGGGTCTCCATGACCGAGCTGGTCTCAGCAAATGATGCCCATACGTGGGGCTCAAACCCAGGTCGAAGGGTCATTGGAGTGATGGTTGGAGAACGTGGAACTAAGCTGGAGGACACCTGAGTACTCTTTTTTTTTTTTGAAATATTTAAAGAGGTTTATTCTGAGCCAAATATGAGTGACCAAGGCCTGTGACAAAGCCCAAGGAGTTCCTGAGAAACTGTGCCCAAGGCGGTTGGTTTACAGCTTGGTTTTATACATTTGAGGAGGACAGAAGTTACAGGCAGACATCAATCCAGAAAGGCGGGACAACTTGAAGTGGATGGGGAAGGCACAGGGTCTGGAGGGGCTCCAAGTCACAGGTGGAGTCAAAGATTTTCTGATTGGCAGTTAGTTGAAATCATTAAGTTATTATCTAAAGACCTGGAATCAAGGCCGGGTGTGGTGGCTCACACCTGTAATTCCAGCACTTTGGGAGGCCAAGGTGGGTGGATCACTTCACCTGAGTATCTTAAGCAATCCCCATGGTGAGTAAGAAGGGGAGCTTGGAAGCATCAGGGTAACAATGGGACAACTGTGGGCTCTGGTTCATTCCATCTTGGAACCTTTTCACACTGATGATGAGGAGGAAGGAGAGTATAATGAAGTAACAGAAGAAGTAACAGAGCAGATTTGTTTGCCAGCTAAAGCTAAAGCGGCAAAGGAGGAAGAGGTTCATCCCTACCCTTCTGCATCCCCTCATTATTTTGAAGAAAAAGAGTGGCCTGACCCTCCAGATCTTTCTTTTCTGGAGGACACTGGGCAAAAAGTAGTTGCCCCAGTAACTGTTCGAGCAGCACCTTGAGTGACCACTCTCAGTTCTATTCAGGCAGGAATTCAGCAAGCTAAACGAAAGGATGATTTAGAGGCTTGGCAGTTCCCTGTTAGCATACACCCCCCAAATCAACAGGGAAATATAGCTACATTTGAGCCTTTTCCTTTTAAATTCAGGAAATGCCATGCAGGGCCCATCCTGGGCCCCGTTCCAAACTGGGGCATTTCCAGCTCAGGCCACTCCCTCACCCCTATACAATATTTGTCCCCCGCCACAGCGCCACAGCCAGTAGTACTGCAGTAGATTGATACTGCACAAAAGCTATGAGTCTTCTGCCTAGGGAACCCCCACAAAAGGTCCCAACAGGAGTCTGTGGACCCTTGCCAGCGGGGATGATAGGATTACTTCTAGGAAGGTCTAGTTTAAATTTAAAAGGGGTACAAGTACAAAGAGGAGTCATTGATTCACATTACAATGGGGATATTCAAATTGTTATATCTACTTCCGTTCCCTGGAAAACAGAGCCAGGAGAGCCTATAACACAGCTCCTGATTGTGCTGTATGTGGAAATGGGGAAAAGTGAAATTAAATGAACAGGAGGATTTGGAAGCACAAATCAATAAGGCAAAGCGGCTTATTGGGTGAATCAAATTCCTGATAAACATCCTACCTGTGAAATAACTATTCAAGGAAAGAAATTTGAAGGTTTGGTAGATACAGAAGCAGACATTTCAATCACTTCTCTACAGCACCAGCCGTCCACGTGGCCAATTCAACCCGCTCAATTTAATGTAGCTGGAGTTGGTAAAGCCCTTGAAGTATATCAAAGTAGTTATATTTTGCACTGTGAAGGGCCTGATGGACAACCTGGGAATATTCAACCAATTATAACTTCTGTACCTATAAATTTATGGGGAAGAGATTTATTACAACAATGGGGAGCACAAGTTCTAATTCTAGAACAGTTATATAGCCCTCAAAGTCAACATATGATGCATGAAATGGAATATGTCCCTGGTATGGGACTAGGAAAAAATTTGCAAGGTTTGAAGGAACTGCTTCAAGCAGAAAGACAAAGTTCCTGCCAAGGTTGAGGATATCATTTTTGATGGCAGCCATTGTTAAGCCTCCAGAATCTATACCTTTAAAATGGTTAACAGATAAGCCAATTTGGATAGAACAATGGCCACTAAGTAAAGAGAAACTGGAGACTTTGAAGGAATTAGTTAATGAACAATTAGAAAAAGGACACATAGCTCCAATATTTTCCCCTTGGAATTCTCCAGTTTTCGCAATTAAGAAAAAATCAGGTAAATGGAGAATGTTAACTGATTCAAGAGGCATTAATTCAGTTATACAACCTATGGGGACATTACAGCCAGAATTGCCTTCTCCTTCTATGATTACAAAAAATTGGCCTTTAATAGTCATGGATGTAAAAGATTGTTTCTTTACTATCCACTTAGCTGAGCAAGACTGTGAATGGTTTGCATTTACAATTCCTGCAGTAAACAACCTGCAGCCTGCTAAGTGTTATCATTGGAAAGTGTTGCCATAAGGCATATTAAACAGTTCAACAATTTGCCAGACTTATGTAGGGCAAGCAATTGAACCTACTCGTAAAAAATTTTCACAGTGTTACATTATTCATTATATGGATGATATACTTTGTGCTGCCTCCACTCAAGAAATATTACTCCAATGTTATGATCACTTGCAAAATT
The DNA here is from genome assembly GCF_000001405.40 of Homo sapiens. Lineage (NCBI taxonomy): Eukaryota > Metazoa > Chordata > Mammalia > Primates > Hominidae > Homo > Homo sapiens. Next base: position 86,463,538 of record NC_000004.12, read on the forward strand.
CAATTTCTCGTGCTGGCTTAATTATAGCTCCTGACAAAATTCAGACTGCTACTCCTTACTCCTACTTGGGGACCTTAGTAAATGATATTACCATTGTGCCACACAAAGTAGCCATATGTAGGGATCAATTGGAAACATTAAATGACTTTCAAAAATTACTAGGGGACATTAATTGGATATGACCTGCTCTAGGCATTCCTACCTATGCCATGAGTAATCTATTTTCTATCCTTAGAGGAGATCCTAGTCTCCCTAGCCTTGGCAATTAACAAAAGAAGCTCAGGCAGAGCTGCAGCTAATCAAAAAGCAAGTCCATAAAGCTCAAATAAATTGAATAGATCCAGAGAAGACTCTAGATTTGCTAATTTTTCCAACTCAGCATTCACCTACTAGTATTATTGTTCAAGAGCAAGATCTTGTAGAGTGGCTTTTTCTTCCACATACTAATTCACAGACTCTAACTCTTTATTTGGATCAAACCGTGACTATGATAGGAAATGGGAGAACTCAGATTGTTAAATTACATGGATATGATCCTGGAAAAATTATTGTCCCTCATGAAGGCACAAATACAGCAAGCTTTTATAAATAGTCTTACTCATTAAACCCATTTAGCTGACTTTGTGGGTATTCTCGATAACCATTTTCTTAAAACGAAACTGTTTCCATTTTTGAAATTAACTAATTGGATTTTCCCTAAAATAACTAATTTAAACCAATTGAAGGTGCTAAGAATGTTTTTACAGATGGGTCTAGTAATGGTAAAGCTTCTTATTCTGGATCAAAAGGTAAAGTTTTCCAAATGCTCTATACTTCAGCTTAGCTGTAATTGAGGTATTCACTGCTTTTGATATGCCTATTAATGTGATTTCTGATTCTTCACACGTGGTTCATTCCACACAATTAATTGAAAATGCTCAGTTATGATTTCATACAGATGAACAACTGATGACTTTCTTTACTCAATTGCAAACAGCAGTTAAGAGTAGAATGCACCCTTTTTGCTGGGTGCAGTGGCTCATGCCTGTAATCCCAGCACTTTCGGATGCTGAGGCAGGCAGATCACGAGGTCAGGAGATCAAGACCATCCTGGCTAACACGGCGAAACCCCGTCTCTACTAAAGTACAAAAAATTAGCCAGGCATGGTGGCGGGCACCTCTAGTCCCAGCTCCTCAGGAGGCTGAGGCAGGAGAGTGGCGTGAACCCAGGAGGTGGCGCTTGCAGTGAGCCGAGATCATACCACTGCACTCCAGGCTGGGCAACAGAGCGAGACTCTGTCTCAAAAAAAAAAAAAGAATGCACCCTTTTTACATCACTCACATTAGGGCTCATACACCTCTTCCGGGACTTTTGACTGCAGGGAATCAAATGGCTAATCGCCTAGTTGCTAATGCAATATCTAATGCTAGACACTTTCACAATTTAACACACGTTAATGTCTCTGGTCTCAAACACAGATACAGCATTATCTGGAAAGAAGCTAAAGCTATTATCCAGCGATGCCCAACTTGTGAAATGGTACATTCCTCATCTTTTACAGGAGGAGTTAATCCTCGAGGATTGGAACCTAACTCTCTTTGGCAAATGGATGTCACACATGTTCCCTTGTTTGGGAGACTAGCTTATGTACATGTATGTGTGGACACCTTTTCTCACTTTGTCTGGACTACATGCCAATCAGGAGAGTCTTCTGCCTGTGTTAAATGTCACCTTTTGCAGTGTTTGGTGGTGATGGGCATTCCAGCTTCTATTAAAACAGATAATGCCCCAGACTATACTAGCCAAGCTCTAGCTACATTTTTCTCTGTATAGAATATTAAACACATTCCTGGTATCACATATAATTCTCAAGGGCAAGCCATAGTGGAAAGAATGAATCTCTCCCTGAAACAGCAGTTACAAAAACAAAAAAGGGGGAGAAATAGTGACTATGGGACATCCCAAATGCAACTGAATCTAGCATTAATAATTTTAAATTTTTTGAGCCTGCCGAAAGGCAAGATGCTATCAGAAGCTGAACAGCATCTACAGAAACCAGCTGCAAAGACAGAGGCAGAACAACTCATTTGGTGGAGAGATCCGATAACAAAAAGTTGGGAAATAGGTAAAATAATAACTTGGGGTAGAGGTTATGCTTGTGTTTCTCCAGGACCAAATCAACAGCCAATTTGGATATCATCAGGACACCTGAAACCTTATCATGAGCCAGATGCCGAGGAAGAGATTCCGGGAGGATCCTGAGGACCCCCCAGTTACAGCCATGTTGAGACTGACACTGAGAAGGACCCCAGCTGTCACGAGCAGCACCTGTCGAACACAGCCACCTACCTGGGGACAGATCAAGAAGCTGTCACAGATGGCGGAAGAAAACCTGAGGAAAGCGGGACAACCAGTCACAATGAGTAACTTAATGGTAGCTATGATAGCGGTGATCACCATTGCCATGAGTATTCCTTCAACAAGGGCTGACACAGAGAATAATTATACTTATTGGGCATATTTATCAATCTTGGCTGGCAATAATGCCTGGATGTAATCACTTTATGACAGTTACACATGCTTTCTGGTCTCAGTATTTACCATAATAAATCTACTCCTATAATTGAGGCATACCGCCCTCAAAAACTTATTTGTAAACAGGATTGGACCCAGTTAGAAATAATGAATGTACTTGTTTGGGAAGATTGAATTGCAGAACAGGCAGAGGTGCTGTGCAACGATTCCTATGGAATCATTATTGATTGGTCCCCTAAGGGGACATTTAGCTTAAATAGCACCTCTCAGTCTGCATGCCACGGCCACACTATGTTCAGCTGGTCTGAACAAAATGGTCAGATGGTAGAAATGGTAGGAAGTACAGCAAGAGTTCCTATTATCTGGAAACATAGCAGTATAGTGACACCTCAACCTCAAATGATATGGCCCGTTGTAGGCCACATGCTATATTTCTGTGTGTGTGTCTTTAATTTCTCTAGTGCCACTGGGTTAGGGTCTCCACAACCGAGCTTGTCTTGGCAGTGTAATTGATTAACTAAAAAAATAATAAAATTAGATCTCTATCTCATACCATACCCAAATATAGATTCCAGATAGGTCAAAAATACAAATGTAAAAATCAAGTCTTTCACAGAACATGTAGGAGAATCTTTTTTATGGCATTTGGTTAGGGAATTATTTCTTAAGCACAGCATGAAAAGCACACAGAACAAAAGAGGGTTTGGGACACCTAGTGTGGTTGATTGTACCCCTGTGAAAATATTTGCTGCCCCTCCCTCCCAGGCTAACCTGCGGGAGATTATATGCCCTCAGCCAAGGTCACTTGCTTCAGCAACAAAATGTGACTATAATGTGATATTGAAACAGAAGCTTTAAAAGCCCTCCTGTGGGTCTGTTGTCTCTCTTTTCTGTCACAAGACCACCATGTCCAAGATATGTGCTGCATCTTCAGCTGCAGTCCCTGGAGTGAAGATGATGTGGAACAGAGCCTGTCAACCCATGTGAATGTGAACAAGAAAATATGTCAGTTGCAGCAAACTCTGAAATTTGGGAGTTTTATGACCCTGGCGTGATTCAGCTTAAGTTGACTGAGATGATGGCTACATTCAAATTGTTAACCAAAAATTATAGAAGGCCACTGTATTGAAGCGGGCCTCACAGTAGGCCCCAACAGACCAAACCAAATCAGAATGGAGTCATTTGTGCCAAGTGTCGCATAATCAAATTGAATTCTTAAATTGTCCAGTTTTCACCAAAAACAAGAGATTCACAGCAACCAGTTAAAAGTGGTTGACTTTGCAGAGAAAGATAAGGAAATAAAATAGGTTGAGGGGTTTCACTGTGTCTACAGTGTATATTTCTTTTAAAAATGTTTTTGAAGCAAAAATGGCCAAAGCAATCTTGACATTTCTTAAATCAGGTGATGTATAGAGACAATGTTGTATTTACCTGAGCCCTGTTATCCTGGAAAACAGCATTTTTGTTTGTTTGTTTGTTTGTTTTTGAGACGGAGTTTCGCTCTGTCACCAGGCTGGAGTGGAGTGGCGCAATCTTGGCTCACTGCAACCTCCGCCTCCCGGGTTCAAGCGATTCTCCTGCCTCAGCCTCCTGAGTAGCTGGGATTACAGGCATGTGCCACCATGCCCAGCTAATTTTTGTATTTTTAATAGAGACAGGGTTTCACCACGTTGGCCAGGATGGTCTCGATCTCTTGACCTCGTGATCCGCGCACCTCGGCCTCCCAAAGTGCGGGAATGGCAGGCGTGAGCCACGGCACCCAGCCTACCATTGTTTAAAGAAGTCCCCAATACCAACCCTTTTGTGTTCCAGAAACTGGCTTACTGAAAAAAACCAAGAGTCCCCATATAAATTAGAGAAGACTCATAGATGTGCCCCTTGCTTACCTTGCAACGAGGCCAGATACAGACATTCTAAATTCCCATTCTTTGCCTCATAAATGATTAGCTGAACTGCTTGCCCCGCCGGTCGGCCAGAACAAAATGCTTGCTAACCAGAAACTTTGCTTTAGCTTCTCTCCTTTTCCCAGGTCCCTGAATTTTGGTCAGCCTACAACTCCTCCTTAAACCCTCCTGAGAATAGGCTGGCTCCAAGGTAAAACATTCTCTAACCTACTATCTGATATTGCTACGCTTTCATCCTGCTTCCCCATACCTGGTTGTTGCTAGCCTTGCTACTTCTCTCTGTAAAAGAAAATCCTTTTTTTGCCTACCTCTTGAGATGCTTGCATATATTATGGTCAAAACATTCTCCCTATTGCAAGAGTCCCCCTCCCCCTATTGCAATAGTCCCTTTGACCACTTCGCAATAATCCTTTCAAATAATGGCTCTCCTTACTAAGTCTGGGTTTTTTATTTGACAATAGGGGTATAGGCATACTTTTATGCATTTTGAATTATTTTATAATATGAACCAGATTTTGAAGAGCTTATTAAATAGAAAAATAGTCATTTCTAAAAGGTGAAACAGAATAGTTTTTTCAAAATGTCCTGATGATATAAGTGTGAAAATAACAAAGCAGTTGGGCATGGTGGCTCACACCTGTAATCCCAGCACTTTGGAAGGCCCAGGCGGGTGGATCACTTGAGGTCAGGAGTTTGGGATCAGCCTGGTCAACATGGTGATACCCCATCTCTACTAAAAATACAAAAATTAGCCAGGCGTGGTGGCATGCACCTGTAGTCCCAGCTCCTCTGGAGGCTGAGGCAGGAGAATTGCTTGAACCCAGGAGGCAGAGGTTGCAGTGAGCCAAGATCATGCCACTGCACTCCAGCCTGGGTGACAGAGTGAGACTCCATCTCAAAAAAAAAGAAAAGAAAAAGAAGGAAAATAACAAAGCAACAGAACTCAACTCATAGCAACTGTGTAGTAGAGGTAGGATTAGAATTCCCAATTGACCAGGCTGGTCAGGGGATTCATAAGAAATACAAATGAAGAAAGTGGGAATGTTAAATCTGGGAAAGCAAAGACTCAGAGGGGCAGAGAAGCTGCCTTCAGATATATGAAGGCTTGTTATGTGGCTTGTTATGAAGGCTTGTTATGTGGGAAATGGCATAGAAGGTTTCCACATGTTGCCATTAGAATTGTGATCAATTCTAGCTACTTGGGAAGCTGAGGTGGTTGTCCCCTTGAGCCTTGAGCCCTATGATCGCACCACTGCACTCCAGCCTGGGTGACAAAGCAAGTTTTTTGTCTCAAAAAAACAAAACAAAACAGAACAAAAAGAATTGTGATCAATAAATGGAAGCTTCAGAAGGCTTCAGCAGAATCTAATGAAGAATATCTAAGTTGTCCAAAGGTGGAATGGGCTACCTTGCAAGTCTGGAGTTCCTCCCCAGTACCAGTGCCCAGACATTATCTGTATGCACACTAAGAACAAGAGTATTGGGCAGGTTGTTGGACCAGGAAACCAGACAGCTCCTGGATTCTATGGTTCTGTCTAGTAGATAATGCAGAAAACACTTGAATGAACTTTAAGAACCAGGCAATCACTCACTGCCAAGATTTTCCAATTGCCAATACTTTCCAATTTCATCAAGCATAAGTAGCAGAAAGAGGATAGTAAATACCTCCTACTATGGTTATTTATATATGCAAACAAATACATGTATGCTTTAATAATTTTTTAAAGGGGGCAAAAGCTGAAACCATCATTAAGAGAAAGAAGCCATTCTTTCACCAGGATGTGCCCAAAGAAACAAAAAGAATTGTAATTCCCAAATACCAGATATAGCTTATTCTTCTGTCTTTGATGGGGCTGCATCCATTTGAGAGATTTTTTTAAGACTAAGAGGTAAAGACAATTGTAAAATATGTAAATTCACCAAAGAAGTATTTGATGACTGAGAATTGCATAGGGCAATGAGGCTTTTTCTAAAAGCCATAGCAGAAAACTCTGGATATATCAATCAATCCAACATAATCTAGACAATACAAGGTTCTGGAATAGCAAAAGAAAATGATAGCTGATTTAAGATTTAAGCAAATCCTTTAGACCAAAAGTAAACACTGCTTTGCAGCTTTGTTTGTTAGCTACTTTCTTATTCCAGCCTCCATGACCATGAAAGTCACAAAAGGGGGTATAATTATATTTCACAGAAGCTGTTCTTATTCTAAATCCACCCTTAATATAAAGCAGCCAACAGAGGAAATTATATTTAATAAGGCATCTGGCTTCTAAATGAAGATGCATCCCATTTTTATTCTAAAATAATTTTAATTTAGTTTGTAACTGAAACATGAAGTTGATGTCATTTGGAATTTCCTGTCCCAGAGAATTATGGTTATAGAGAAAATAACAGTATTGGAATATTTTTATCATACAAGATTGTGTTTTTATTTAAATTGGGACAAGTCTGAATAGATATTTTAACATTTATGTCTTCTAGGAGAGTTAAACCTCTTTTTATTCATAAAATCATGTTTGATTTAACTAAAATAAATATTTGCTTTCCTATATTGTCTTCTTATTTTAATATTTACCTATTTCCTTATCTTCTTAATTCATTAATTTTCTCATACCTCTTTCTGTTAAATATAATTTATTTGCCTTGTTCCCATTTCATCTCCCCTATTTTTTCTTCCTTTTTGTTTTTTCATTCTATATCTTGCTACTTCTTTATTCTCCCTTTGCAGCCAAAGGGATTCATAACTGTTTAATACCAAGGGAAAGAATTGAATGTTAGGTGAATGTATTGCTTTGCATGTAGAAGACAAGACTTTCCTATATTTCTTTTTAAAAAATTATTATACAAGATAGTTAAAAGGTGATGTGAAAAATAATAAAGGAATTCCAAAATAAACCAAACCAAAAGTCAGGTGACTCAAAATCAAGAAATTAAGATTAGTAGCCAAAACTACTTACCAAAACAAATCCAGTTATAAGTTTTATTCTTATTTAAATATTTACTGGCATTGTATTGCTAACGAAGAATTAGGCTGGGCATGGTGGCTCACACCTGTAATCCCAGCACTTTGGGAGGCTGACGTGGGTGGATCACAAGGTCAGGAGTTCAAGACCAGCCTGACCAATATGGTGAAACCCCATCTCTACTAAAAACACAAAAATTAGCTGGGTGTGGTGGCACGTGCCTGTAATCCCAATTACTCAGGAGGCTGAGGCAGGAGAATTGCTTGAACCCAGGAGGTGGAGGTTGCAGTGAGCTGAGATCATGCCATTGCACTCCAGCCTGAGCGACACAGCAAGACTCTGTGCCCCCCTGCAAAAAAAAAAAAAAAAAAAAGAATTAAACTAGTACATATAGTACAATTGCAATAAAAATGTGATCATATGGAGAAATTATCATTAAGGAAAAAAGTCTTATTTCGTAAGTGTTAAACTGATGTATTCTTACAAAATAAGAGATAAACCCATGAAAACTGAATCTAATGGATGCTGAACACAAAGCCATCATTTCTCAAAATAATTGGCCTCTCATGTTTTCCTTAAATTAAATACAATTGCCTGGATTTATATTTGAAAAACAGAAATACATTTTACAGTTTAAAGTAATTATATAAAAATGGTTGTTTCCTGAAAATATAAAACATTTACCATGTTATCACTGTTGTTATGTATACCATACTTCAGATTTTGTGAAGATCAAATGAAGTACATTTGCAAGCATGCTGAAACATAGTTGGCTTAATTAAAATGCCTGAAAGATATTTTTTGCCTGCAGCAAAAATTGTTACTTAATTACTATAATGCATCTGCTATGTTTTCCTTTTTTTTCAACAAAGAGAAACCCAGGTGATTTCTGTGTACCTCTTTAATATGAAATCAGAGATGATGACTGTAGAAACTGAATGTATAAGTAAAATACTGAAACTCAGCGTAACCCAAAAATGTTGTCTTTTAATAAAATTACAGTCATTTGCTTTTTAAGAGTTTAGGGGTTTTGTTGTAGTTATTGAAAAAATTTCATACCAACATTCATCAGGAATAAACCAATTGCCATAATAAACTGATTACATGTACCAAATTGAGTTATAGTTCAGAAGACTAAAATTCATCATATATCAAATTCTAATATTATTTCAGCTGATTTAATCTTTAAATTGATGAACATTTCAAGTTAAAGAGTTTTCTGTTTGAAAAATAAAACATTGAGAAGCACACAAACATTTGATAATAAAATTTTATTTTAGTTCATTTAAATGCTTTTATTCAGTAGATTGATATTATGTATTCTACAATTTTACTTTCCTACAAAGTTTTTAAACTAGTAAGAGCAATTCTAAGTGGTATTTATGGATCTTGTTAAGAGATCTTCAAATACCGATGTGAATAATTATCCATTTGTGAACATCTAAGAAAAGTAGTTTGACACTGGATTCACACAATAAGGTTTAAAAAAAAATTACAGACTACAGAAAAAAGACAAAGCTGTGACCAGCCTGGGCAACATGGCAAAACCCCATCTCTACAAGAAATACAACAAAATTAGCAGAGCATGATGGTGCACACCTGTAGTCCCACTACTTGGGAGGGTGGTGGGAGGATCACTTGAGCCAGGCAGGTTGAGCCTGCAGTGAGCTGTGATCACACCACTGCACTTCAGCCTGTGCAACAGAGTGAGAAGCAAGATCCTGTCTCCAAAAAAAAAAAGTTGCAGAGTAGAAAGACAAGATAAGATTCTGAAATGTGTAAACTCATCATACAATAAACTGTATAGGGGTGAGGCAGGAAAATAGGGTCTGGAGGCAGGGGAACATAAGGTCAATTCACACTACAGCTGTAACAGGAAATATTCTCTCCACAGGGTGTATACTGTAAATGACTTTGTAACTCTACTTCATCCTCTTCATTTACACAGGGCGTACCCCAGGGAGAGGGTATTTAAACTCACAAAAACTCTGTAACAGGCCTTTTGAGCCCCTATGCTCAGGCCTGCTCCCACAGTGTGGAGTGTACTTTCATTTTCAATAGAACCTTTCATTCCTTCCTTGCTTTGTTTGTGCATTTTGTCCAATACTTTGTTCAAGACTCCAAGAACCTGGACACTCTCCACTGTTAACAGGGGGAGAAAATATTACCTGTTATTTTTCAGATGAAATAATGTCATTTCTGATTCACTTATATTTGAAAATAAAAATGTTTCTTTAGTTCTATTTAGGACCTGCAAAAATGAAATTTTTCTAAAAATTTTTGCTTAGAAATTGTGGTCTTAAAATATGTTGAAGCCACAAATACTGTATTTCTAGTTGGAGGTCAAAGCAGGGTTTATTTGAACAGATATCACATATCGACCTTAGGGAAAGTTACTTTAGAGCAGCAGGATTGAATTTTCAAAAAGAGGAAATGAATGACCTACTGTGAAGGTTCTCTGAATTACCAAAAATTTCATTCAAAATAGATTGAGTATAGAAAGGTTTTTTATTTAAAAAGAAAAAATTCTGGGAACTAAAGGCAGAAAGTACAGTAAGATTTACATAGCTGAGTCCAAGAATTGGAAAGAGATTAGGAAATAGTCTCTCTCTTCCTCCAGCCCCAGCCTAATTTTCTCTGCTACTCACATAGAGGCCCAAACACTGTGACTCCCTATTCCAGCAAATTCACCAACTCATGTGCCTTTCTGTATCCCAATTTTAAAACCGCATTAGAGAAAATCTAAACTGGTTCAACCCAGACAACACTTTGGCTCTCCTTGGTTCTAATGTCCACTAGTCCACTAGCTGAGGTCAGGGAGGGGTAGAAATTTGTAATATGTCTGTGACTACAGAAAATCATTCTTCTTTGAGAAAGGAAAGTTCCCAGAGAAGTGAGGTGATTCCAGCAGCCAGCAATGCTATATCCTCCAGGCATGAGAGTCTAGCTGGACGCTGTGGTTCATGCCTGTAATCTCAGCACTTTGGAAGTCTGAGATGGAAGGATAGCTTAAGGCCAGGAGTTCAAGACCAGCCCTGGCAACATAGTGAGACTTTGTCTCTACCAAAAAAAAAAGAATTATTAACAACTTCGTCCCACATACATTTCCACGCATATATATGTACTTTGTTATTCACAAATGGGATCATGCACCACATGTAACTTAGCAACTTGCTTTTTAAAGAAAACTTTACAGTGTGTCATGTATATATTTCCAACAGGGTTTCAGTTTTATTCATCTTTGGATACTTTTGGCATATCATTGGTGCACAATTTTTATTTGTTAGAAATGAATAAAGTAGCTATAAACTTACATTTGATTATTTTTATGGTTAATATGGAAAGTTCTAAAAGTTATTGGGAGCAATCTCCAGAGATGAATCAGTATTAATATAGCTTGTATATACATTAATTGAGACATCCTAAGGTTGAATCCATAGTGTTGAAATTAATACATGGCTTTAAAAAAAATTACCTATGTTTATATCATAAAATGAAACTCAAATGAAATATTTAAATTGGAGTTACTATTAACACAGACTTATCCATTGTCCTCCAAAAGCATAGAGAGGTCCGAAAGTTATTCAGCACTTTCAATTATAAATTGTCTTTGGCAAAATACACTGAGAAAATTTTCACACACCAAACATTATTCTACCAGTCTCTGAAAATGTTAATTTTTTTCTTCATCATCATACTTAACCACTTCAACCCACTGCACCCCAGTTTAGTTTACAAAGCTAGAAAATGAGCTGAAGGAAAAGTACTGACTAGCAGCTAATATAAAGTGAGCATTCCAGAGAAGCTTGACTGGCCATATAAATGAAGGAATTAATAAATGAGTGAACTGTCAGGCCTCTGAGCCCAAGCTAAGCCATCATATCCCCTGTGACCTGCACATATACATCCAGATGGCCTGAAATAACTGAAGAATCACAAAAGAAGTGATATTTAAATGGCCTGTTCCTGCCTTAACTGATGACATTCCACCACAAAAGAAGTGAAAATGGCCGGTCCTTGCCTTAAATGATGACATTACCTTGTGAAATTCCTTCTCCTGGCTCATCCTGGCTCAAAAAGCTCCCCGACTGAGCACCTTGTGACCCCCACTCCTGCCTGCCAGAGAACAACCCCCTTTGACTGTAATTTTCCTTTAGCTACCCAAATCTTATAAAACGGCCCCACTCCATCTCTCTTCACTGACTCTCTTTTCAGACTCAGCCCACCTGCACCCAGGTGATTAAAAAGCTTTATTGCTCACACAAAGTCTGTTTGGTGGGGTCTCTTCACACAGACACAAGTGAAATTTTGGTGCCATGACTCGGATCAGGGGACCTTCCTTGGGAGATCAATCCCCTGTCCTCCTGCTCTTTGCTCCATGAGAAAGATCTACCTACGACCTCGGGTCCTCAGACCGACCAGCCCAAGGAACATCACACCAATTTTAAATCCGGTAAGTGGCTTCTTTTTACTCTCTTCTCCAACCTCTCTCACTATCCCTCAACCTCTTTCTCCTTTCAATCTTGGCGCCACACTTCAATCTCTCCCTTCTCTTAATTTCAGTTCCTTTCCTTTCCTCGTAGAGACAGGAGACACGTTTTATCCGTGGACCCAAAACTCTGGCGCCGGTCACGGACTCGGGAAGACAGTCTTCCCTTGGTGTTTAATCATGCGGGGATGCCTGCCTGATTATTCACCCACATTTCAGAGGTGTCTGACCACATGGGGACGCCTGCCTTGGTCCTTCACCCTTAACGGCAAGTACTGCTTTTCTGGGGGGCAAGAACCTCCCAACCCCTTCTTCACCCTTAGCGGCAAGTACCGCTTTTCTAGGGGGCAAGAACCCCCCACCCCTTCTCTCCATGTCTCTACTCTCTCTTTTCTCTGGGCTTGCCTCCTTCACTATGGGCAGCCTTCACCCCTCCATTCCTCCTTCTCCCTTAGCCTGTGTTCTCAAGAACCTCTTCAACTCACACCTGACCTAAACCTAAACGCCTTATTTTCTTCTACAATACCGTTTGGCCCCAATACAAACTCGACAGTGGTTCCAAATAGCCAGAAAACGGCACTTTTGATTTTTCCATCCTACAAGATCTAGATAATTCTTATCATAAAATGGGCAAACGGTCCGAGATGCCTGACGTCCAGGCATTCTTTTACACATTGTTCCCTCCCTAGTCTGTTACCAATGTGACTTATCCCAGATCCTCCTTCTTTCCTTCCCACCTGTCCCCTCAGTCCCAACCCCAAGCATTGCTGAGTCTTTCTAATCTTCCTTTTCTACAGACCCATCTGACCTCTCTGCTCCTCACCAGGCCGAGCCAGGTCCCAATTCTTCCTCAGCTTCTGCTCCCCCACCCTATAATCCTTTTATCACCTCCACTCCTTCCACCCAGTCCAGCTTACAGTTTCGTTCTGTGACTAGCCTTCCCCCACCAGCCCAGCAATTTCCTCTTAAAAAGGTGGCTGGAGCTAAAGGCATAGTCAAGGTTAATGCTCCTTTTTCTTTATCTGACATCTCCCAAAATCAGTTAGTGTTTAGGCTCTTTTTCATCAAATATGAAAAACCCAGCCCAGTTCATGGCTCATTTGGCAGCAACCCTGAGACGCTTTAAAGCCCTAGACCCTGAAAGGTCAGAAGGCCGTCTTATTCTCAATATGCATTTTATTTTATTACCCAATCTGTTCCTGACATGAAATAAAGCTCCAAAAATTAAATTCTGGCCCTCAAACCCCACAACAGGACTTAATTAACCTCACCTTTAAGGTGTACAATAATAGAGTAGAGGCAGCCAAGTAGCAATGTATTTCTGAGTTGCAATTCCTTGCCTCCACTGTGAGACAAGCCCCAGCCACATCACCAGCATACAAGAACTCCAAACGCCTGAACCACAGCTGCCAGGGGTTCCTCTAGAATCTCCTCCCCCAGGAGCTTGCTACAAGTGCCAGAAATCTGGCCACTGGACCAAGGAATGCCCACAGCCCAGGATTCCTCCTAAGCCATGTCTCATCTGTGCGGGACCCCACTGAAAATCAGACTGTTCAACTTACCTGGCAGCCACTCCCAGAGCCCCTGGAACTCTGACCCAAGGCTCTCTGACTGACTCCTTCCCAGATCCTCTCGGCTTAGCAGCTGAAGACTGACACTGCCCGATTGCCTCAGAAGCCTACAGGACCATCACAGATGCTCTAGATAACTCTCACAGTGGAGGGTAAGTCCATCCCCTTCTTAATCAATACAGAGGCTACTCACTCCACATTACCTTATTTTCAAGGGCCTGTTTCCCTTGCCTCCATAACTGTCGTGGGTATTGACAGCCAGGCTTCTAAATCTCTTAAAACTCCCCAACTCTGGTGCCAATTTAGACAATACTCTTTTAAGCACTCCTTTTTAGTTATCCCCACCTGCCCAGTTCCCTTATCAGGCCAAGACACTTTAACTAAATTATCTGCTTCCCTGACTATTCCTGGGCTACAGCCACACCTCATTGCCACCTTTTCTCCCAGTTCAAAGCCTCCTTCACATCCTCCCCTTGTATCTCCCCACCTTAACCCACAAGTATAAGATACCTCTACTCTCTCCTTGGTGACCGATCATGTACCCCTACCATCTCATTACAACCTAATCACCCTTACCCTGCTCAACGCCAATATCCCATCCCACAGCACGCTTTAAAAGGATTAAAGCCTGTTATCACTTGCCTGTTACAGCATGGCCTTTTAAAGCCTATAAACTCTCCTTACAGTTCCCCCATTTTACCTGTCCAAAAACCTGACAAGCCTTACAGGTTAGTTCAGGATCTGCACCTTATCAACCAAATTGTTTTGCCTATCCACCCCATGGTGCCAAACCCGTATACTCTCCTATCCTCAATACCTCCCTCCACAACCCATTATTCTGTTCTGGATCTCAAACATGTTTTCTCTACTATTCCTTTGCACCCTTCGTCCCAGCCTCTCTTTGCTTTCACTTGGACTGACCCTGACACCCATCAGGCTCAGCAAATTACCTGGGCTGTACTGCCGCAAGGCTTCACGGACAGCCTCCATTACTTCAGTCAAGCCCAAATTTCTTCCTCATCTGTTACCTATCTCGGCATAATTATCATAAAAACACACGTGCTTTCCCCACCGATTGTGTCCAACTGATCTCTCAAACCCCACACCTTCTACAAAACAACAACTCCTTTCCTTCCTAGGCATGGTTGGATACTTTCGACTTTGGATACCTGGTTTTGCCATAACAAAACCATTATATAAACTCATAAAAGGAAACCTAGCTGACCCCGTAGATCCTAAATCCTTTCCCCACTCCTCTTTCCATTCCTTGAAGAGAGCTTTAGAGACTGCCCCCACCCTAGCTTTCCCTGACTCATCCCAACCCTTTTCATTACCCACAGCCAAAGTGCAGGGTTGTGCAGTCGGAATTCTTACACAAGAACCGGGACTACGCCCTGTAACCTTTTTATCCAAACAACTTGACCTTACTGTTTTGCCTAGCCCTCAAGTCTGTGTGCAGTGGCCACCACTGCCCTAATACTTTTAGAGGCCCTTAAAATTACAAACTATGCTCAACTCACTCTCTACAGTTCTCATAACTTCCAAACTCTATTTTCTTCCTCACACCTGACACATATACTTTCTGCTCCCCGGCTCCTTCAGCTGTACTCACTCTTTGTTGAGTCTCCCACAATTACCATTGTTCCTGGCCTGGACTTCAATCCGGCCTCCCACATTATTCCTGATACCACACCTGAGCCCCATGACTATATCTCTCTGATCCACCTGACATTCACCCCATTTCCCCATACTTCCTTCTTTCCTGTTCCTCACCCAGATCACACTTGGTTTATTGATGGCAGTTCCACCAGGCCTAATCGCAACACACCAGCAAAGGCAGGCCATGCTATAGTTCAAGCCACTAGCCTGCCTCTTAGAACCTCTGATTTCCTTTCCATCGTGGAAATCTATTCTCAAAGAAATAACTTCTCAGTCTTCCATCTGCTATTCTACTACTCCTCAGAGATTATTCAGGCCCCCTCCCTTCCCTACACATGAAGCTCAGGGATTTGCCCCTGCCCAGGACCGGCAAATTAGCTTTACTCAACATGCCCTGAGTCAGGAAACTAAAATACCTCTTGGTCTTGGTAGACACTTTCACTGGATAGGTAGAGGCCTTTCCCACAGGATCTGAGAAATGACCCACCACGGTCATTTCTTTCCTTCTGTCAGACAGAATTCCTCGGTTTGGCCTTCCCACCTCTATACAGTCCTGTAAGGGACCGGCCTTTATTAGTCAAATCACCCAAGCAGTTTCTCAGGCTCTTAGTATTCAGTGAACTAATGGTCTTTTAAAACCACACCTTACCAAGCTCAGCCACCAACTTAAAAAGGACTGGACAATACTTTTACCACTTGCCCTTCTCAGAATTCGGGCCTGTCCTTGGAATGCTACAAGGTACAGCCCATTTGAGCTCCTGTATAGACGCTCCTTTTTATTAGGCCCCAGTCTCATTCCAGACACTAGACCAACTTGGACTGCACCCCCCACCAAAAAAAAAAAAAAACTTGTCGTCCCTACTATCTTCTGTCTAGTCATACTCCTATTCACCATTCTCAACTACTCATAAATGCCCTGCTCTTATTTACACTGCCGATTTACACTGTTTCTCCAAGCCACCACAGCTGATGTCTCCTGGTGCTATCCCCAAACCGCCACTCTTAACTCCCTCTTAAAGTAAATAAATCATCTTTGCCGGCAGGGCTATGCTGAACTTCCTTAGGCACTCTCTAGTTAGATGTCCTAGGTCCTCCCAATTCTTACTCCTTTAATACCTGTTTTTCTCCTTGTCTTATTCCATTATTTTTTCAATTCCCACAAAATTGTATCCAGGCCATCACCAATAATTCTATAAGACAAATGTTTCTTCTAACAACCCCACAATATCCCCCCTTACCACAAAATCTTCCTTCAGCTTAATCTCTCCCACTCTAGGTTCCCACGCCACCCCTAATCCTGCTCGAAGCATCCCTGAGAAACATCGCCCATTATCTCTCCATACCACCCCCAAAAATTTTCGCCACCCCAACACTTCAACACTATTATGTTTTATTTTTCTTACTAATATAAGAAGACAGGAATGTCAGGCCTCTGAGCCCAAGCTAAGCCATCATATCCCCTGTGACCTGCACGTATACACCTAGATGGCCTGAAGTAACTGAAGAATCACAAAAGAAGTGATATTTAAATGGCCTGTTCCTGCCTTAACTGATGACATTCCACCACAAAAGAAGTGAAAATGGCCGGTCCTTGCCTTAACTGATGACATTACCTTGTGAAATTCCTTCTCCTGGCTCATCCTGGCTCAAAAATCTCCCCCACTGAGCACCCTGTGACCCCCCCACTCCTGCCCGCCAGAGAACAACTGCCTTTGACTGTAATTTTCCTTTACCTACCCAAATCTTATAAAATGACCCCACCCCTATCTCTCTTCACTGACTCTCTTTTCAGACTCAGCCCACCTGCACCCAGGTGATTAAAAAGCTTTATTGCTCACACAAAGCCTGTTTGGTGGTCTCTTCACACGGATGCGAGTGAAATGAACACCTTTTGACAGTTCTTCAGGAATCTTTGTAAATACTCCCTCCCACCCTGACACAAAATGAAGAAAAGAACATTTGGAATTAAAGATGATAAAATTTGTAGCCAAGGACTTTAACATTCAATTTCCATAACCCCTGCTGGAGTTCAATTTATTAGAGACAGTTTTGAGGCTGTAGGAGTGGAAAAGGTGATATCTTTCCTCATCCATCATAAGGGTTACAGCTGTCATTCTTGCAACAAAAGACAGGTTAAGAGAAAAGCATAACAAATTTATTTAATCAAAGTGTTATGTGACACAGGAGACTTCAGAAATGAAGATCGAAAGACCCAGGGAAAACTGTCAATTGTTATGCTTAGATTTGATAAAGAATGGCCAGCGATGTAGAAATATGATTAGACAAAAAGGGAATGATCTAACAGTAACACAATGAGGCAGGAAAACCAACAAGGCTGTCCATTCAGATTCTTCTTGGCCTTTCTGTGTAGGATTCCTTCAACCCAGGTATAGGACAAGACCTCTATAGAATGAGGATCTTATGACCTACAATCAGACAAAGCAAGTCAGAGAATTTCTATATTGCAAATTCCTTCCTAAACAGGAAACCAGTGGAAGGTTAGAATGATATTTCTAGGTTTTGTAGCTGTCTTTGGAGGAAAGAAGTTCTGGTTTCTATGGCTTACCGTGGGGAAGAAGAATTCTAGCTTCTATGACTTGCTTGGGGGAGAAAGTGAAGTGAGAGACAGGAGGGCAGGAGAAAATCAGAGAGACCTTGCTTCAGAGGCCTTCTAATCTCCTTGAGTTTAAGGCACCAATCAGCATACTAAAGCACCTTACTTTGGGGTATTGTTTTTTGAACCCCAACATGGCCACAGATTTTTAACTGAAAGTTGTGAAAGTGGAGGAAAAAAAAAAAAAAAACCATTGCCACTATTATTCCCATCCTCTAAAATTCTGTTTCTACACCATGTAGCCATGCAATCCCTCTTGCTTACCTCTTAATTAGTCTCCACTAAAAATATTTGGTATTGTTCTCATCCATTATTTGAGTGTTGACCCTAGCTGTGACACATAATGAACTGTTCCAGAAATGTTTCCCCAGTAGTGAGTTAAGTGCTTACAGAGATTTACTTGTTCTCTAGGCTGAGCAACCACTTAGTCCATTACAATGAAAAGAGATTTAAAGGCAAGTACGTACTGCTAGAAACAGGTGCCTAAGAATGTAGTTGTCTTACAATTTTAAGAAGGCAAGAAATTCAAATTAACCCCATGAAATCATCTAATGGAAACTGCCAATCTGACAAGCAAAACAATGCATACTTTCTATTTAACTCTGGACTGCTTGATTTCTCTAAGTTCTCAGCACTTTGAGTTATTTTTCTTAACTGTTTTAAAGTCAAGTAGGAGTAAATCATGGGATTTTAGTAATTCTAAAGGAAAAGCCACTGGAAAGAATAACCGTAATACAAGACCAGGGAAAACAGTGCAGTTTATTAGAAATCAAACTTTTCAAGAAATTTATAATTGATTTTATAATACAATGAAGTACAACATTTCAAAAAGAGGATACATTTTAAGTGATTTCATGTTGGCCTTGTTTATCCATGAAAACTCTTACAAGTTTCATAAATTTTAAAATAAGCATTTTAATTCCTGAATTCTACACTCCTGCCTAGCTCATTTGTAGGGGAACAGGACATGCAGACATTGTTTTATATTTCTTAAATTCTTCCCTGCACCTAATAGAGCAGTAGGTGATTATGAATTGTGAGGTGAGATTTTTTTAATGTTGCCAAAAACTTAGTGTTACTGGATTTCATTTCAAACAATAGTCAGTCCACCAACATAAATCTTGCTTGTAGAATGAAATGCTGTGTTAAGTCAGTGCCCCAAATACCACACTCCTCTTTTCCTTTTCATCTTGCTCTTTTTCTAGTTACGTGCCATGATTTGAAGGATGGTGGGGGGATGCAGAGGGAGGAAGAAAGGGACATAGAAACAGAGACAAAGACAGAGAGCTCCTGCCGTTGTGAAAAATATGCCTTGTTCCAACAATGAGAAATTGTTGATTGACTTGCCTCTTCCCATAAGCACTGTTTTGACAAAAATGAGCAGAAGCATCTATGAATTATGAAGGACTAGCTCAGTAAAGTTTGGAACTAAATTGAAGCATATCATAATCATATTCCTCACCATTAAAACTGTTCATCCTGCCAGAATGTGTTGTTGCATGAGGCCCAAGAGAATCAGGCACAGAATTCTAGCACTCTAGGTTATGGCTAATGAAAAATGAAAGTAAGAAAATTAAGATAAATCACTGCCACCTAACAGAGATTTGAGTATATTCCATTCTGGCTCACCTAATTTTTTTCCCTCTTTTCTCATTTATTTTTTGTGTTAGGCATACAACATTTAGCTTTCCAAAGAGCTGATTGTAGGATTTAGACAGAGAGAGAAAGAATTGCAGCTGTCACAGCAGGGGTTAAATGTGCAAATGCCTGCAGCAATTCACTTCTTTGACTAAGCTGTCAAAACATTTAAATTGTGTCCCTGTAGTTCCTCTCTTCCTCTTCTACCGTCTCCCCAGCAGGGGCTGCCAGCACTGAATCTTTGTCAAAAGAGAAGATGTCGTCACATTGGTAAACCGTACCCCTCTAAAAGGATTTCCAACTTTCTTTGTGTTGATTGTCATGTTTATTTCTTTATGTCTTTTCTGCAGAATCCTCACCGATTCTTCTCAGCTTGAATTAGTTGAAATGCCCATATTTTAGGTCAGTTAACAACTTAACAAAAGACACTGCATTTGATTATGAGTGTGCTTAAAAAAAAATCCAAAAACTGGAAACTTTCACTTAGGAAAATAATGAAAGCAAGCAGAATGCAGAATCACTTTATAATTACTTCTACTGATAAGTAAGAATATAGAACAAACTAGAGAGACTTCATGAAACGTGCAAATTCTGAAATATGTTCAAAGAAACAAAGGGCAGAAAGACCGCTAAGCCGCAAACATCACGCTATAATTAATAAATAATAAATATTATTAAAATGGAATATATAATATTTATACAAAAATTATTAAAACATTGGACAATATTTATCGAACACCTGCTAAGAACCAGATTCTATACCTCCAATTATTGCATTTAGTCCTCACACATCAAGCATTCATTGCCTGACTACCCTGCTAAGTCTTGGAATATCAAAACTAAAGTCTCTACCCTCTAACAGCTCACAGTCTAGCAGGGAAAAAAGATGAGTAAACAATCATGAAATGAGATTAGATGGATGTATGCACACTTACAACAGCATCTGAGAAAGGACAACCTTTCTATGATTGAGGGCTTTATAAAAGAAGAGGGGGAGGGGAAGATCCAAAGATTAAAGAATAAGAGGTAGCCAGAAGACAAATGTTGGAATAGGAGCAAGAGAAGGAAGGACAGTTTTCCAGGCCAAGAGAGCAGGCTTCCAAAGGCAGAGATTTATGGGAGAGCAATGCACTTCAGGGGAGCCACAGCAGTTGTATTATTAAAGCTCAAGCTGGAAGATGAGGGGAGGAAGCAAGTAATGGAGGCTTGGTATTCCATGATAAGGAGTGTGGGCTTTATCCTTGAAGCCGAGAGAATTTAACAGGATGTTTAAACGGAGTGGCTAAAGGATTATATTTTTAACCTAGAAATAACAAGAATAAATATCCTTTATTGAGTGCTAATGGGCGCCATTCACTTTATATAATTCATTCTTATTTAACTCCCATTATCACATTACAAGCAAGTGTTATTATCCTCATTTTGCAGATAACTGATGCTCAAAACTTTAAATAACTTGTCCAAGTTCATCTAGCAGCTAAGAACGGAGGCAAGCTTTCGTAATGTTCTCACTTTCTCATCCTGTCTCTCCTAGTAGTTGTGGTTGTGTGGTTAACAGCAGGTGTTATGGAGGCCAACTGACTAGGCTTGAATTCCTTGATACTTTACTTGCTTTGTGACTCTGTGCAAGTTGTAATCATTTTATCATCTGGAAAATGGGGATAATAAAATCCACCCAAAGATAAATGAGGTAGTACACATTAAGCAGTTAGCACAACACCCAGCACATAATTTAATGCTACCCATTATGATGCTAGACCAGGCATTATGCTTGAGCACATTTTTGACATCTATCTAATCTTTATGTGAACCAGACAAAATGTGGGTATTATTATGTTTATTTTACAGATTTAAAAAAAAACTGAAACTTAAAGAAATTAAGTTACTTGCAGAAAGACATATAACTAAGTGACAGAGCTGCTTCTGCTCCAAAGCCCACACTGTTTCTTATAACACAGAATATACTGCACCGGTCTCTTGTGTACTACAGAGAATAAATTTAAAGGCAGTAAGACAGAAAGCAGGGGGAGTGTATTTAAGAGGCTTCTGTAAAAGTCTAAGAGAGAGCAGTCAGGAGTCTGAATTAAATAAGTGGTTATGTGTAGTAAGATATGTCAGATAAGAGATATTTACAAGGTCGGATGAATAGGACTAGGTGGCAGATTAGATGCTGGGAAGCAAGGAAGAGAGCTCAAGAGGACTTTCTGGTTTTTGGTTTGGGTCACCATAATTTCCCTGTTACCCCCACCTCCCTTTTACTTTTTTCTTCTTCCCCCACTTAACCTTTAGCCTTCCATTAGATCCCAGCATGAAGATCATCTTACTGGAGATGCCTTCCCCAACCACACTAAATTGATCAGTTCCCTCCTCTTACACTTTCTTATATGTATATTCTTGGGAGCACAATTGTAGTGTAATTTTTACATGTTTAAAATTTTTTAAATATAATATTTGACTTTTTGATTAATGTCAGACTCCCTCAGTTGACTCTAAGCCCTAGGAACATATCCTTTTTCAGTTTTCCTCCTCACCACTGTATCTCCTATGTCTAGCAAAGTGCATTATCCTTAATAGGTGTTTAATAAATAATATTTGGATAAGTAAATTAATGAATGATCAGATGAATTGTGAAAGAATGAATATGCAAATAGTTAAACAAGGAAGGAAATAAACCAAAAGGAATCAGGAGTCTTAATGAGTTTCAAAAGAAGTTCCAAGAGCTTCATCAGAGAAAGAATGAGAAAGCTGGAAAGACAGTAGATGGTATAGACTGAACTGTGCCATTGCAAAATTCATTTGTTGAACCCCTCAACTCCATTGACTGTATTTGGAGATAAGGTCTGTAAAGAGATAATTACAGTTACACAGGCCTCAAGGGAAGGGCCTTAATTCAATAGGACTATTGTCCTTATAAGCTGAGAAAAAGACAACAGAGTTCACGCATAGAGAAAAGGCCATGTGAGGACATAGTGAAAGGCAGCCATTTGCAAGCCAGGAAAAGAGGCCTAACCAGAAACCAACCCTCCTGGCACCTTTATTGTGAACTTCCAGCCGCCTGAGAAGTGAAAAATAAAATTCTGCTATTTAAGCCCTCCAGTCTGTGGTATTCTGTCATGGCAGCCCAGGCCAACTAATATGGTAGGCCATAAATTTTAGATTTGGGGAGATGATGTAGGAGAGGGGAAAACCCTAAAACTGAATAGACACAGTCACAAATTAACTGTATTTTATTAAATAATCACATGGAAAGTTGGGTGTGGTGGTGCCCACCTGTAGTCCCAGCTACTCGGGAGGCTGAGGCAGGAGGATCACTTGAAGCAAGAAGTTTGGATTGTACTGGGCCATTATCACACTTGTGAATAGCCACTGCACTCCAGCCAGGGCAACACAGCAAGACTCAATCTCTAAAACATACATACATACATACACACATGCATAACCACACTGGGGAGTAGAGAAGGATAACTACCATACAGAAGAAAAAGAAAAAGAGAAGCAATGCAAGTAACTTTTGATCACATGATTTTGACAATATACCCACAATCTAGGGAACAAAAGAACTGCAAACAAATCTTGAATTTTTTCTAGTAAGTTTATTTTTCATTGAGATATGGGTATAGCAATTGTGAAACTACTTTATGGGTATCATAATATTGAGAAAATGAATAATGTGATTATGTTCTTGGGTGCCAGGTTCTAAATGACTGTGGAAAAAGAAAGATAAAAATATGGCATGAGGTTAGGCAAAGAAAACTCTGCAACTATCATAATAAAGATTGATTCAGAAAAGAATTATCTTTGGATGCAAAGTCCAGGGGGAAAAGTTAGATGAGGAACAGGATATGTACGCAGTCCCAAAGTGTCTCCCCACAGATTGTTTAGTGGTTGAAAGAGGGAAATAGTAACTATATGGTGGAGAAACCAAACAACATCTTGATGAGGTGATTGAATTAACATCACCAGTGAGGGGCAGACAGACACTATGTGCCTGAAACACAGTACTCTGAGAAGGACAAATCACTGATGTCTTATGCAGCAAGAAAGGCACGATCTGAGCCTAATCATCAAGAAACATCAGACAAACCCAAAGTGATGAACATTCTGTCACATAGCCGTCTTATATTTGAAAATATCAGTGTCATGAAAGATACGGAAAAGCTAAGGAAATCTTCCAGATTTGGGTACTGAAGACATGAGACAGTCGATTGCAATGCAGGATCCTATGCTGGATTCTGTACTGGAAGGGGAAAATGCCATAACAGACATGATTAGGGCAATTTGCAAATTAGATTATGGAGTATGGAGTGGAAAAAGTATTGTTTCAATGTTAAATTTTATAAATTTGACAACTGTATTATGGTAATGTAAGAGGATACCTTTTTTTCTTAGGAAATACACAATAAAGGACTAAGAGGTAAGAGGGAATGATTGCAAGCTATCTAAAATAGTTCATAAAAGAGAGAGAGAGAGTGTGTGTGTGTGTGTGTGTGTAGAGAGAGAAAGAAGGAGTATAATAAAGCAAAGGTAACAAAGTGTCAAAAATTGTTAAATCTGGGCCGGGTGCGGTGGCTCACACCTGTAATCCCAGCACTTTGGGAGGCCGAGGTGAGTGGATCACGAAGTCAGGAGATCAAGACCATCCTGGCTAACACAGTGAAACCCCGTCTCTACTAAAAATACAAAAAAAATTAGCCAGGCATGGTGGCAGGTGCCTGTAGTCCCAGCTACTTGGGAGGCTGAGGCAGGAGAATGGTGTGAACCTGGGAGGCAGAGCTTGCAGTGAGCTGAGATAGTGCCACTGCACTCCAGCCTGGGCAACAGCACGAGACTCTGTCTCAAAAAAAAAAAAAAAAAAATTGTTAAATCTGAATAAAGAGTAAATGGGACTCCCTATCTTTCAACCTTTCTATAAGTTTAAAATTATTTCAAAATACAACTTAAAATAAAATCAAAAGAACAAATAAAAAAGATAAGAGGTGAAGGAGTTCTGAGTGGTGTAAAGTTTTAGGCCTTGATGTTAAGGTAGATTGCACAATAGTCTGAGAGAGAGAGATTATTGTCCTCATTTTACTGAGGAGAAATTGGGACTCAGAGGCCTCAAGGTCTGATGCTACCTAGAGGACAGCAGAGGAGAAGAGAGGAGAGGAGGCCCAGATGGGGAGAGAATGAGGCAAGTTTTTCCCTCAGCTCCACTTGCCGTCTTAATTCAATCCCTTGACAGATTAGCTCACTGAAGGAAAAGCAGCTCCCTCACACCATTCCCCCACCTCCTCCCATATCTGAAATGATGCTCTGCTCAGATCATTAATCATCTCATTAAGGCTCTAGCAAGCACAATTCAGTAATATTGGCCACAGACATTATCCTTTTATTCTCTCGACACAGCTGATGAAAAAGAACCTATTGTAAGATGTCCCCGGTTTTTCACAACAGTAAGGGAAATGATACCTTTTCATCAATGTATAGTTCCAGCTTCAATAAGCATTGTTCCTGGTTTCCTCAAGCCCCTTGTGCAAAGTTTTATGAGTTGGATAATATCCCCTTACCCAATTTTCCCATCCAGATATTGGGAGGGTAATATCAGAACTAGATTACTGGATTGAGTTGAAATAATATTTAAGGCTGTCTTGGGCAACATTTTAAAATTTTCTTATGATATGTATCCTCTAATCACCCACACTCCTTTCTTCTATTAGTTTTTCCCTTTCCCAGTGATTTTTGATGCTAACTGTGGTTTCTGAATCTGCCTGTAGATACCTCCAGAGTTCTTTGCACTACACAATGGCACAGAGACCATGTTAGGACAGTCCCAGAAAGGCTCCGAAGTAGACAAAGATGATCGGTACTGCCCACCCTTCCCCATTTCTGCACCTCTCTCTTCCATCATCTTCAAACTGCAGTCCTCACCTCAGCCTAGAATCCTAGAGTAAGTGGTAAAAATAACCTCAGATTCTTTCCTTCCCTGTGGCAGTGTAGCTCCTCCCATCAAGAGATACCTTTTGAATCTGGGTTTGGCCACAGGACCGGCCAAATGTGACATTAGCAAAGATGCAGCAGAGGCTTGAAAAGTGTTTGCGCATTCGGGCTTGTTCTCTTGCTGCACCTGGAAACTTGAAACCAGCACTTTTCAGTCCAGTGTTAATGTGGAGGCCACTGGAGGAGAACCAAGATACTCTAGCCAACAGCCACCTGACATCTGAGGGAAGCCATACAGGACCAGCCAACCCCTAGCTGACCCAATAACTTATCCAGAAGCAGCAGATGACTACAGACTCATGAGTAAACCCAGCTAAGCCGGGACAACCACCACACTGATCCCATACCTTAATTGTGAGCTAAATAATGACTGCCATTTTAAGCCAGTAAGTCTTGGGATAATTATTTATGCAGTAATAGATAACTAATTATAGACTCAAGTATCTCAAAGTAGGCGCTGCTCTCCTCCTACCTCCTGGCTGTCCGTCTTCATCCCAGTGTCACCCACTCCCCACCGAAAGGCTGATCTTTTCTCCACCATCAAAACTCATTTGTTTCATATGTTTTGGGACCTCAAAATCCTTGACTAAACTGATAAACTAATATGAATTAGTGATGTAATTGAAGTGTAATAAATAAGATAGCACACTCAGTCTCCAAAAACAGGCCCCAAAATAAGCCTCCTCACCTCCTTATTCTTTCACTTGTGCAGCATTCTAACCGATACCAAAAAGGAAAAGGATTTCTCCTAAAGTAGTATTTTGAGAATTCATGGGTTTGTCCCTTTTTTTTCTCCTCTCAAGGAACAAAAGCACCCATCATTATATCCCCTAGAGCTAGAGTCTTCTCAAATGTACCCAGGCTAAGAAGTCACTGCTCTAACTCCGTCTCATCTCCTCTCCTCTAGTCAATCCTGAATGGTTTCTGAACAAGTTGATTAATCTTTCTCCATCAAAATTAATCTTTCTCCACCAAAATCCACACATCCTGAGTCTCTTCCAACTCATTCTCTGAACACTTAAGCTCTTCAAAGGGCCCTTTTTTCTGTTCCACTCTCAGTAGTCAGTCCCCCCATCTCCAGCATCATGGTCTAACCAAGCCCTCCAAATAACAAGCCAAGTATGGTTCACATACTCCCAATACATTAGCAAAACACAAAATATTCGTTTTGCCCACAAAACTTTCCTCCTGGCTATTCTACTGTTGTTTTTTCCTAGTTAAATTCATACAATAAATAGTGTATCTGCTTGTTCTTAAATTGATCCACTCATTCAGGAAATATTAATTGAGTAGTTATGCCACTGAGAAGCTCCTTTCTCCTATTCCTATGATTCCAAGAGTAAGAACTACTGCAACAGTAGTATCTTTGGTCTCCCTCCCCACATTCCTTCATTCCTCCTAAGGGAAAGGAATTAAGTCTATTATTGTAGACTTGAGGAGAAAGAATTGAGCAAGCTTGACAGAGGCTTTTCTGGGCCTCACTTCTTCACAACTGTTGGTCCAGGGAGGGCATCCTGGTTGACTCTGTACTATGTGGTAAGCGTATGGGCCAAGTTCTAGCCCTATAAGGAGAATCCTACTACTTTGAAAAGTAAATTCAATTAATGCGAGATCAGATGGCCCATCCATGCAATATACTCTAATTCAACTTTTACAAAATTTAAAGAAACAAAAACAAAAACTCCCTTCTATTTTGATCTCTAGAGTCACCCCACAAAAAGGCACTGGCCTGAGAGACAAGTAGGGACTAAAGTCCAGCCCAGCTTCTGCACACCAAGCCAGTTCCCTGGTACCTTCCTTCTAATTCACCCACGCAGAGACAGTTCTTTACAATCATCTTCCAGGAGTGGGTGTTTTCTTCTAATTCATATGCTCAAATGAAAAGAAAGGAGGTGGCTTTTCTAATCTAAACAAAGGTAACTTATGTGCTAACAGCAGCCTGTTGATTGCCAGCTATCTGATTCCCGTGTCTATCTACCAGTCAGCTCCAACTTAAGAAGGAAAGCAAGGATGATTTATTTAGCTCCTAAACCTTACATACTACTATGTACCAGATACTGTGTTAGGTACTGGGGAAAAAAGGATGAGTAATACAGAGTCGCTGACTTTAAAAACGTGCTATCTAGCTAAATTCCCTCAGTCCTCAAAACTAGCTAGTTAGCTTGTTTGTTTTGTATAAAGATGTGATCTACTGTGGGCAAAAGTCTGGATTCTTGGCTATCCCATGCATGGGAGACATGAGTTGAGCTGTGTGGATCAGAGGCCGGAGCAAAGTATGGCAGTCAGAGTAGCAGTGCTGTGATGGATGAAAGCATCCCACAGACACAGGCAAAGGATACAAGTTCCTCAAATGTAGGTGCAACAAAATTGACTTTGCACACAGACAGCTCCACAGGGCAGGAAGGACAGTGGCACTCCCAGAGTGAGGGGCAAGCACACCTGTCCAACAAGTGCATCACATGGTTGATGGTACCAGAGTACCTGCTCAGGATTAGATCCTGCCAGGACCCTCAAGCCGCTCCCTTTGCCATTGCAGTGGAGCTTTGTTATACCCTCATGACCCCAACCCCAGTTCTGAAGATTGTGACTATGAACCTACATGCTCACCAGAGTTAAAAACTCCAGACACTCCTCTTTACTGCAAGGCTGGGTGAATCAAAATATCTGGTTTCGCAGGATATTATCTCCTAGCAGCTCTGGCTCCAGCACTTTGATATAGGGATTATTTTCCCCTTAGGTCTCATCACCTGGTAAGAAAGACTCTAAATCGAAGCATATAGGTCCATTCGGGATATCAGTTAATAATCCATTTTTATTTCCCAGTAGGAAAATGTGTCACTTTAATGCCTAAACTTTAAAACAAGTGTTTGTTAGTTGTTGTTTTTGCTGATTTCTTATTATTTTATTCTATAGTTTTTCAAGCATATACAAGTATTTTTATTTTTCCTAACAGCAAAAGAAAACTGGTGTGTGTGTGTGATTATTTTATTTTATTTTTTTAGCTTACATAAAGGCTAGAGACTGTGCCTAGGTATGAATTTCCTCTCCAGTTTCTAACTCAGGTCTCTTCCTTTCCAGCAAGTATTCTTAACAACAAAAAGAAAAAAATGATATAGTCCCAATGAATAGGTTACTTCATTCAATTTTTCTGCAGACAGCGGTTTGTTAATAACTAGCACCTCTGCTTTTTCTTAATAACAGTAGAGAAGTTTGATTTAGACATTCAGATATGAAATGACTAAATTTGTTCTCAAAATTGGAGTATGTGAGTTTTTTCTAAGGGTAAGAGAAGTAAGAATACTGTCTTCAGATTCAAGGTGCAATGCTAAAATAGCAGTTACCCAGAAGGTAGGTCTCGAGAAGGAATGATAAGAGTTAGGATCCTGTAACACCAGCAGACAATTCAGTACAGGAAAAGCAGGGTTTTATGAAGCATTTAACTCAGGAGCTGTGGACAATTCTTTCTGTTCTCCTTTTCCCTTCCCTAAGTAAATATCTGATGCTTGGGCATCCTGTATGAATAGAATACACATTCCCTATTCTTCTTGCCAAATAAAAATATTCCTCTATCCTTGTTAGTTCTGCAGCAAAATGGTTTCAGTGTCTAGGCTTTGGAGCTAGACTCCGTGAGTTCAAATTCTTGCACCATCATACATGTGAGCTCTATGACCTTGGCAAGTCACTTGATTTCAGTAGGCCTTAGTTTTCGTATTTGTAAAGTGAGAATAATTTTTGCTTATTTCCCAGGGTGGAGATTAAATGAGATAATTAATGTAAAATATTTAACAAAGTTCTGGGAGCATAGCAGGTGCTCAATAACGGTATATGTTCTCCTGATCTAAAATTACCATGGTGGATGAAATTTCCCAAGGTGACCTTGATTTTTAAAAAATTTGGACTCACTGTAGGACTGTATGTTTTGCTTTTGGGTTTGGGAAATATGCTGACAATACCTATTACTTCTGGAAATGAAGGCACCCAAAAACTGTAATTTAAAAATGAATGGTATGTATGAGGGGTGTTAAAGCAAACTAAATATGGCCTGAGAAGGACTCCGTAATTCTATATTTGAGTCCTTGTGGATGAACTGTAACCTAGCTTAATAGTCAGACAAAATTGAAAACCTAACTTAGTAGTATGCACCTGTGACAAGAGCTGAGTGTTAGCCAATCCCAGTGGCCATACTTCAACCATTCATAGACTGCTGAATGTTCAAACTGCGTTCAAATAAGGCAAACGCTGAGTTGTAACCAATCTCACTGTTTCTGTACCTCACTTCCGATTCCTGTACGTCACTTTTTTTGTCTATAAATTTGTTCTCACCAGAAGGCACCCCTGGAGTCTCTGTGAATCTGCTGTGATTCTGAGGACTGCCTGATTTGCGAATCGTTCATTGCTCAATTAAACTCCTTTAAATTTAATTTGGCTGAAGTTTTTCTTTTATCAGGGGTGTCCTAGTAAGTTATTATTTGTTCAGTCGATCTTAACTCCTTATGCTAGATTAATTTATCTGCACACAGAAAAGCAAATTTTAAAAGGTCTCTCGTATATTCTAGGTAGTTATTCTAGATCCTTTTCTTTATTGCATTTCCCTTTCTCCATTTGTTTTTAGATTTAATTTGGGCTGTCTTTACTTTGTCCTGGATTCTAGAATCTACTCCACTTTGAAATTGGCTTCTGGCTGCTTCAGATGTGATAACCTTCAGGACAGCCTTTCTGTCATTTTGGGCCTTAGCACATTTAGCTCACCCTCCCCCTTCACTCCTACCCTGCCTGGAAGGAAGCCCTATGGTTAGGAAACCCCACTTCCTCATGCTTTTCTCTTTAGTTCTAAGAATCTCCCTGTGAATGGTTGCTATGGTTGATGAAGACACAGATAGTTTTATCAGCATCCCTGCTTGCCTGGAGGTTTTTAAATTGTTAATGTTTTAAAAAAAGAGCATGTATATGTGTTTGTGGTCCCTTCTACCTTTCTTTTTCCAATACCCAAGAGAAGGTAAAGTCTTAAGCCTTTCTTTCCTGAGAGACAGCCCAGCCATCTCCTACCCCACATGATTTCCACTGGGAATATTAAAGGCACTGTAATATCTAGGAAGGAGAGAAATTTCAGGGCAGGGAGGTTTTCCCTATGCTCCTATACCTTCAGCTTCTATGTAAGATGAAAGTAGACCTTAAAAGTTTAGGCATTGGGATATCATCTGTCAGTAGATGGAACTTGCAACTTCTCTTTCCAAGTTCTCTGGCTTCTTTCTCCATGCAGCTTAGTAATGGACATGTAGCCTATACCAGCTATTCACTAGATTTAAAATCCTTATTTCAGATCAACAAGAGGATGCAGCGAGGTACAATCTTCCATGTTTGTGAGTAGGGAGAAGGAGTATTTCACCAGAAAGGGGCAGTGGAAGTCTGGCAGGACAGCAGTACTCTGGGTCCACATGGACAGCATGTTCAGAGCAAGAATCCAGGGAAACTCTAGGTAAACAATGCAACACTCAGCCTCCTTGGAACAGGAGGGGACTGGCGTTCCACATGGGCTGAGATAAGGCAGAAGGCCATGGTCAGGAGAAGGGAAAAGAGCTGGAGGGGATATCTGTATGAGAAGACTTAAAACCTGGAGCTAAGGGAGTGTGAATACTGGGATCCATGACTGGCTTGTTCTTTGTCACCATTACTCTAACTTCAAAAATGCTTCACGGCTGGGCGTGGTGGCTCACACCCGTAATCCCAGCACTTTGGGAGGCTGAGGCGGGCGGATCACGAGGTCAAGAGATTGAGACCATCCTGGCCAACATGGAAACCCCGTCTCTACTGAAAATACAAAAAACTAGCTGGCCGTGGTGGCGGGTGCCTGCAGTCCCAGCTACTCAGGAGGCTGAGGCAGGAGAATGGCGTGAACCTGGGAGGCGGAGCTTGCAGTGAGCTGAGATCGTGCCACTGCACTCCAGCCTGGGCGACAGAGAGAGACTCCGTCTCAAAAAAAAAAAAAAAAAAAAAAAAAAAAAAAAAAAAAAGCTTCACATATTTTATGTATCAATAACTAAATATTTGCTCACTTTTCCTTAAGTTGATCTTGATTCAATCTTAAGGAGTTGGATAACCCGAGCTTATTTCATGGTGTCTTCCCTAAGAAACCTTGGCCTTTTGGTTTATATTAGAATTAAGGTCCAGAAAAAACTAACACAATTTCTTAGAAGTCCAACAAATCACTTCAGACAGAGCCAGACTTTTCAGGGCTGCTCCAACAAGTTTAGGGTATACCTCCAACATGAGGCCTAAAGCGAGTTTGGCTTGGGTTGAGGATGTAGTCCATAAAACAATGATGTTTAATGATATGGTAAGATGGGAGGCATTTATTTACATAGCTGTTATTAAAGGTACTATAACCAATTTATTGGTATTTTAAATGTTTTATTATGGAGAATTTTAAACATACTCAAAAGTAGATAAAATAGTATCATGAATTCCCAGATAACCATCCAGTACCAAGCCCATGGCCAATCTGGCCTATCCACACCTCCATCTATCCCTTCCCTTGAGACTATTTTGAAGGAAATCCTAGATATCATATAATTTCCCTTATAAATATTTCAGGATGAATCTCTAAAATGCAATAGCTTGTCTTTATAACAAAACTAACACAACTGAAATATCATTATCACATCTAAAAATAATTCCTTAATAATATCAAACATTTAGTGTCGACATTTTAATTGTCTCATAAATATTACAAATAGGGGTTTTCCATGGTGCTTATTTAATCAGCATCCAAACAAAGATGAGATATGGTAAATTATTATTGTATTTTAAATATCTTTTAATTTTCATGTTCCATTTTCCTCTCCCTTTTTCCCCCTCTTGCAATGTATTTGTTGAAAAAATGTGCTTTTATGTCCTATGAACTTTCTCAGTCTGAGTTTGACTGACTGATTACATCTCCTTGGTATTTTAACATGTTTGTCCATCCTTTGGGTTTTCTGAAAATTGCTAGCTAAATCTAGAGTCATCATCGGATCCAGGCTGAATTTTTTTGCATATATTAATTTTTACCCAAAAAAACTATAAGAATAATCTCAAGTTTTACCAAAAACTTATTAACACATTTTTTCTATAATTCATGCCAGAAGATATTACATAAACATCAAAAATTTGAAATTTAAAAGTGAACAAAGGGCTTCATTTTTGTGGAAAACAACATACACACTCCATTAACCAAAAATAAACACAAGAAAAGTTCAAAAAAGCCCAAATGCTATAGGGACAACAACTTCAAATTAACCCAAGGATCTAAATAATGCAAAACCTGATATTAGCTACATGCTTTCCAGCCATTAAAATAGAGACTTAGATGTTGAAAACTCTATTTTTGATTCAGAGACGAGCTTTGTGCCCCGGGTTTTGGTTCAGTTTGCCTCAGCTACCACTAGAGGGAGGCCAATATGCATTTGAAAAACCCAAACATAAAAAATTGGCCTGAACCTGGAAGATTTCCATTTTTAAGTTCTTTTTAAAATATCAAACATAGTTCTTATTCAATATTACATATCATTTATTTTGTGTTTTACTAGGAAGCTTCACACTAAATTAATTTTGTATTTGGAATCTGCCTATAATGCAAAGGAAAAATACAGCCCTTTTGTGGCCTATACAAAGTACATGATACAACAGGTACCCCTGAAGTCCTCCTTCACCCCAGATCTTTTCAAGGCATTGAAAGGTACAAGAATACAAGGGGACTATGTCATGGTGACTAGGTTAAGTTTTTTTAGAGATTCTAAGTGCTTTTTAAGAATGCAGTACCCCAACTCCCTTACAAATTACAATTTTAAAGCAATAAACTATAAAACAAGCATAAAGAAATCCAACAAATTTCTATTTTCCGATGACAATTAATTTTTTCTGGTGAGTTAGAGGAGAAATATTTAATTCCCCCCCCACCCAACAAAAAACATTACTCAATACTCCTTTGCTGGAGGGCTAAGCACACGCTTAGTCAGCTTTATAGATAATCCAGATAATCCAGTTCTGCCTCCCATCCTGCAAATAATTAGCTAAAATGTCGGCACTAACTAATCTCTCTTTTGCCACAAAATATGCACATTCCTTATAATGCTTATGCTTTACATTAACCTAGCTCTTTAAGATTTATAACTCATTTTCACATGCTATTTCATTCTATCCTCAAAACTTTATTTTTATGGGAGAGTATTTTTCCTGCTTTATAAGAAACCAACACTCCAAACAATAAAAATTTGTTTACAAAGTTTAGTTA